>NC_000001.11:206972465-207123980 GCF_000001405.40 Homo sapiens | reverse complement strand
AGCCAACTCCTCTATCTTGGACTTCACAACGACTAGTGGTTGAGCCAATTAAGAAAAATCTGAATAAGATAGATCAAAGATTTTAATGGAATTCCTCCTACCCTAAATTAAATTAAAGAGGTCTGAGCAAATAGAATTGTTACTCAATATTAAAATAAGGAAATCATATGTTCTTGGATATCATTTCCCATTAAGCACTCCATTCAGTAAAATTTCATTACTGCAATGAGATGCGTGTGTTTTTTCCTTTGGACCCTCATTCCTTAATCTGTTACTGAGCATCTACTAGGGATCAGGAATGCAGTTCATCCAGAGCTCAAGCACAACAATAAAAGGCTGGCTTCAGCGTGTTCTGTGGTTGTCTCTGGGTGAGAGTACCAGCTAGATTACTGAGTCCACAATCTCCCCATCTTTGGCTTGAAGCTTCCTCTGACTTCCAGGTGGGTGTCTTATTCCCATACATCATTAGCTTTCAGTTCACCACTTCCATTTTTACGGCTCTTGATATGTCCTACTCTTTCCTCAGTTCGTCTTCCTGCCCTCTATCTTATGCTAACAGAAAAAAACAAAAGATATGAATGATTACAAATTGTAGCATCATCAAGGATATTGATAATCATCAATGATATCAAATTGTAGCATCATCAAGGAATAAACTTACAATGTGATAGAACACTAAAGCAAATGTCACCTTCAGCAATCTAAGAGCCTGTGGAATTTATTGAATAATAACTTCAAGAAAATATATCTCAACTACAACTACAATTAAGTATTTCTTTACTTTAAAATTTCTTTAAAATGTAGTTTTTCCAACCTAGCCCAGAGACTAAGTGCAAAATATTGTTTCTGGTTGTTTCAATGGGAACACCTTAGTGTTTCAACAGCATCTTAGTTCTGATTCTTTTCACTTTCCCTTATGGAAGCCATACACAATAAGGAAAACAGAGGATAAAAATGAGAAAATCAACAAAAATGAAACAAACGGAAAAGATAAGAGAAAACTAATAGATATAGGTAACAAGCAAAAGAGAATCAACATAGGCTTAATTGGATAACCTAAAGAAGGAATCCAAGTAGAACAAAATAGCTTTTTAAAAATTTGTTTCAGGCCAGGTGTGGTGGCTTACTCCTGTAATACCAGTACTTTGGGACGCTGAGGCAGGTGAATTCTTTGAGACCAGGAGTTCAAGACCAGCCTGGCCAATATGACAAAACCCCATCTCTATTAAAAATACAAAAATCAGCTGGGCATGGTGCTGCTCTCCTGTAGTCCCAGCTACTTGAGAGGCTGAGGTGGGAGGATTGCTTGAGCCCAGGAAGTTGAGGCTGCAGTGAGCTATGATCGTGCCACTGCACTCCAGCCTGGGCAAAGGGAGTGAGACCTTGACTCAAAAAATATATATATTTCAAGTAAATGTTACTAAAATAAAACAATACGTCAATCTACATATTAAAATTGCACATCACATAGTAGCAAAAAATTAAACCAAGTGATTTCTACCAAAACAACTAAGAGTAAAAGTATTAGGTTTCAAAGATAAAGAATAATAATTTAGATAGTCAAACAAAGATCAAGCCATATGAGAAGAAATTTCAGATCAGTAGTATTCACTAGCAAAAGATAGTGCAGCAGTACCTATAAGACATCCAAGAAAAGAAAGGATGAGCCAAGGACTATATCAAGCCCCATTATCTTCTAGGTATCAATGCCTCAGATATATTATCTGAACCTGCAAGAACTCAAAGAATAATTTTCACTTGGGACTTTTTTTTGGAAACCACCATAGGACAAACTACAGCCAACCAAGAGATGACAATGGCAACTTTAGCCAAAATAAACAAAAATGGTAGCAAACATTGTACATGCAGATCTAAGAAAAAACAAATGTGATTTTAAGTGTGACTGAAGGAAATATAAATGTTATATGCTCAGACAGCACTGAAATAGTATAACTAAGAAAAAATAGAGACAGGGAAGAGAGGGTAAAATAAATTCCCTTATTGCCTGATCATTTGCAAAGTTGAGAATGAAAGCAACCATAGACACATATGAATATTTCACATTAATGTTAAATACAAAATAAACACTAAGATAATACAAATGATACAAATTTACTGGTAGGGAAGATAGAAGGGGTGAAGGAGGGGTAAGAATACAAGATAAGTTTATTGTTGTTTATAACAAGGAACCAATTTAAACTGTCTAAAGATAAAGAGGAATAATGATATTATATAAATTTAAATGTATATAGGTCACCACTAGAAACAAATTTTGAACCTTCCTAAATACCACCATATATTTTTAATAGAAAATAAATATACACATACATATATAACAAAATATGAAATAATATGATAAAACCAAGTCTATAAGTATCACTCACATCAATAAATGTAAACTCCTAATGAAAGAAAAACAGCTTTTAATTGGAGAAAATTCAGCTCTGTTATATACAGGAGACAAACCTAAAAGTGTTTCAGACAGATTAAAAATAAAAGACAGCATAAAATTATACCAAGCAAATTCAAAAGAAAACCAAAGATAATAATTTTAATATCCCATAAGTTGGACATCAGAACCAAGATTATTAAATGACACACAATGGGTACTTTATATGTTAAAGATTTTGATTTTCAGTGAAGAGCTATGAATCTTTATGTAGCAAAATATGTATGTAGCAGCAATTTTAATAAAACAGAAGTATATGAGACAAGAAAAATAATCAAAATATGCTAATTATCATTAAATTATTTTATAATGGTTAAAATAATTATAAAATTATTAATTTACTTTAACTCCTATCTTCATGCTTAAGGTATATAAAGACAAGCATAATAAAATATTCAAAACAACTTATCAAGAAAGTAGATCTGACTGAGAACAGTGGCTCATGCCTGTAATCTCAGCAGTTTGGAAGACCGGGGCAAGAGAATCCATTGAGCCCAGGTGTTCTAGACAAGCATGAGCAACATAACAAGACCTCATCTCTACAAAAGTTTGAACTTTAGCCAGGCATCATGGCACATGCCTGTAGGCCTAGCTACTCAGAAGGCTGAGGCAAGAGGATTGCTTGAGCCAGGGCAGTCCAGGCTACAGTAAGCCAAGACTGCACCACTGCACTCCAGCCTGTGTGATAGAGGGAGAACTTGTCTCAAAAAAAGAAAGTAAATCTGATGTGTATATAGCAAACTCTATATACTACTAATAAAGAAAATCCTTCATTCCAGTGCCTGTTGAAATATTAATGAAAGTTGATTGTATATCATGATGCGCCATAAAACAACTGTAAATTTTAAAACATAAAAATAAGTAACATTCTTGGTTAATCTAGAAGTCTTTTTATTTCTTTTATTTTCTGTTTTTTAAATTTTTTTATTCTTTAGAGATGGGTTTCGCTATGTTGCTCAGGCTGGTCTTGAACTCCTGGGCTCAGGTGATCTTCCCACCTCAACCTCTCAAAGTGTTGGAATTACAGGCGTGAGCCACTGCACCTGGCCCAGTCAGTTTGGAAGTCTTCAGTGGAAGAATGCTTCTACTGGGGGACGCAGCAAGAGTTCCAAAAATTAGAGTTGCCGGATTTAGCAAATACAAATACAGGGTGCCTAGTTAAATGTGAATTTCATGTAAACAATGAACACTTTTTTTAGTTTAAGTGTGATCCAAATGTTGCATGGAACATACACTAAAATTATTTGTTGTTTACCCGAAAATCAAATTTAACTGGGCATCCTGTATTTTACCTGAAAACCCTAAATTAAGCTTGGAGGTTGAGACCTGTCAACTCTGGACCCTCATGCAAGTGAAGGTAAGGCAAAGAAGGAGTCCACTTTGATGGTTGGTGTGACTAATCCTGATAATGAAGGGAAAAATTAGATTGCTTCTGCACAGTGATGGTAAAGATGAGTATGTCTGGAATGCAGGGCACCCAGACATACTGGGTGCACCCCCTTACACTCCAATGCCCTATAATTAAAATCAACAAAAAACTATAATAACCCAAATCAGGCAGGACTGCTGATGGCCCAGACCATTCAAGAATAAAAGTTTAGGTGACCCCATTGGGCAAGGAACCAACGACAGATGAAGTGCTTGCTGAGGGCAAAGAGAATATGGAATAAGTAACAGAAACATCGTTATAAATATCTGCTACAACCACATGACCAGTTGCATAAACAAGGACCATAAAAGTTGTGAATATTTCTTTCTTATTTTAATATAAATGGACATTACATTAATTGTGTTTCTTTTTACCCCTTTCCTTCCCCTACTGTATAAGATGTGTTTGTAGTGGCTTACCTTACATCTCAATATTTAAGTTATAGAATATCAAAGGGGAGATATGACTCAGCTCAAAGGGAATTCTCTTTTAGGAAAAGAATTTCCATGTTTTTGGGTGTATGAGGGATAGTTGCATTATGTAAAATGTGAGTATTACTTTGCTATTGACTTTATTTGGAAATTAAGCTAAGTATGGTTAAAACTAGTGTATACAAATATCACATTTGACAAGGAGTGAGCTGTGGTAGATTTATGTTGTGTCAACTTAGCTAAGCTGTAATTATGTTTCCCAGAATTATCTTCCATACATAATGCCAAGTTAGTATGGCCCATAAAAGACGGTAGATGTGAATTAGTAGAGCCATACTCCATATGCTAGAAAGGTCAGGGCAGAGCACAGGATGTGACTGCAGTTCACAAGCACTGTTGTTTCTCTGTTCTATCACTTTGTTAGTAGAGGGCTCAACCAGGCCACAGCAGAGCCAGCTCCTGCAGGATCTCCTCCTTCATGTACCCTGGCTTCTGATCCAAGTACATTAGCACTGTGACGGACAACTTCTACAGGACATACCCATTTTTGAAGTTGAAGGCTAAGGGGCAGTGAAAGAACAAGATGAATTCCAGTTTACAATGGTGGGCTTTACTCGCTCATCTTTGCAGGTTCCAGTTTGTCCTTGAAGCACTCAGTTCATGTCTATCTTCCCTTCCTGAGTCCCTGCCCTGCTTACTTCAGGCCACAGCAACAGACATTGAAGGAACAGCCTCCTGTAAACACCATTTAACTATCTCCCACACCTATGTCAAGTCAGGTCCCTACAATAAATCCTGCGGTTCTATTTCTCCAGGTAAATCCTGACTGACATAATTAACATAAGTAGATAAGAAAAAGAAAATGGAAATCTAAAAATTGGGAAGTAGGAGGTAAAAGAATCATTGAAATGATGTGATTACAAACCAGATAATCCTAAGAGAATTCAACTGAAAGAATTTTTTTAAATTTTTACAAATAATATGACATGGTTTGGCTGTGTCCCCACCCAAAACTCATATTGAATTGTAGTTCCTATAATCCCCATGTGTCATGGGAGGAATGTAGTGGGAAGTAATTGAATCATGGGGGCAGTTACCCCAATGCTATTCTCGTGATAGTGAGTGAGTTTCTCATGAGGTCTGTTGGTTTTATGAGGGGCTTTTCCCCCTTTACTCAACACTTCTCCTCCCTGCCGCCATGTGAAGAAGGTGCCTTTCTTCCCCTTTGCCTTCTGCGATGATTGTAAGTTTCCTGAGGCCTTACCAGCCATGTGGAACTGTGAGTAAATTAAACCTCTTTTCTTTATAAATTACCCAGTCTTGGGTATTTCTTCATAGCAGCATGAGAATGAACTAATGCATAATAAATTTAGAAAGTTGGCTGAGATATCAAACTAACATGCAGAAATCAATAGTAGATAGATGATAGATAGATAGATAGATAGATAGATAGATAGACAGATGATAGATAGATAGATGATAGATAGATAGATATAGATAGATAGACAGACAGACAGACAGACAGACAGACAGACAGATAGATGATAGATAGATGATAGATAAACTAGTTACAATACAAATTGGATAAATAATCCATTTAAAATACCAAAAACATTTTTTGTTTGGTTTTGCCAGAGGTTTAAACTCTTCAAGAAATGCAAAATCTATGTGAGGAAAGCTGAAACACACATGAAGAAACAAGGAAAAAAAGACTAAGACGAACTGAGGAAAGCATAGCAAAGGGTAGCAGAATATGCCAAAATAGACCAGTTTGGCATAAAGATTGTTTTTTGAGTTAAAAGCACTTGAAACACAGCAAGATGCAGGAAGGGCACTCTGACCTCCCCTTTTCTTCCTGAAGGCAGGACATGAAACTCTCACAGGAAAGATACCTTCCCTGTACCTGAAGGAAAAGAACACTCTTATCACCAGAGGCAGGGAGTCAAGGCCAAGAGAAATCTGTACAAAGAAACTTTGTACAAAGACCACTTTTTGGGTCTTCATTTTCCTGTGAAGTTTCCTATGTACTTGTTAAAATAAAACCTGTGTGCTTTTCTCCTGTTAATCTGTTTCATGTCAACTTAATTCTCAGGCCTGGTGGAGACCCTAAGAGGGTAGAGGAATAGTTTTGCCTTCTCTACGGTAACATATTCTTAACTAGAGAGAGTCAACATTATAAAATATCTATTCTCCTAAAGTTAATTTTACCAGTTTATTTTTCGAGATGAGGTCTTGCCCTGTCACCCAGGTTGTAGTGCAGTGGCACTATCATGGCTCACTGCAGCCTCGACCTCCCAGGCTCAAGTGATCCTGCCACCTCAGCCTGTTGCATAGCTGGGACTAGAAGTGCGTGCTACCACACTCGGCTAATGTTTTTAATTTCTTGTAGAGACAAGGTCTCCCTGTGTTGCCCGGGCTGGTCTCGAACTCCTGGACTCAAGAGATCTTCCCACCTTGGTCTTCCAAAGTGCTGGGATTACAGGTGTGAGCCACTGCACTTCACCTAAAATTAATTTTAAAACTAATCTAACACTGATTTTAAAATATGTCTAACTTTAAAGTTCTTATAGAAAAATAAATACATACTGTCAGGAAAACTTCAAAAAAGAAGAGCAATAAGATAGCTCTACCCATATTGGCTATTAAAACATATTATAAAGCTTCAATTATTAAATGACTGTGAAACGCATACATAAATGTACAGGAAAAATACGGGCATTGAATAGAAAGTCCAGAAATAGACCTAGATAAGTATATGAATTTTATATAATATCAAAGAGCATCTTAAATCAGTAAAGGCAAACTTTTAAATAAGTGGTGTTGGCGTAACAGGAAAGCAATATGAAAAGATATAGTCTAAAATCTGTACCTCATACTGTATACTGTATATTAACTCCAAATAAATTAAAGCTTTGAATATTAAAAAATATGAAAATATAAAAGAAGTAGAGGAAATATAGGCGATTTTTTTTAAACCTTATATTGGGGAAGGCCTTAGGACATAAAATCCAAAAGCCATTTCTAAAAGGGAAATTGATGAATTTAACAACATAAATACAAATAATTTCTCCTTAAGGGGAAAAAATACCAATAGCCAAGTCAAAAACATTATACACACACACACACACACACACACACACACACACACACACACATATACACACACACACACACACTGTGGGAAAAGTTACAGTATATATCAGAATCAAGGCCTAAATCCTGCAATGCACAGACTCATGTGTATGTCTAAATGTATACATCCTAAAACTTAAGAATAAAAAGTTCAACAAGTTAAGGAAAAAAAACAACAACCAGGCATCAGACATGCTAACTAGTGCACAAATAAATACAAACATCCCCTGGACATATAAAACTATACTTAACCTCCCTGACAATAAGAGAAATGTACAGTGAAACTATAGTGAGATTTTATTTTCACCTCTTACATTGGGAAAAATTCAAAAATTTGACAAGTTTTCGAAAGTTTGACAACACAGTTGGAGAGTTTGTGGAGAGACAGACATTTACATACTCTGCAAAACCATGAAACCCTTAGGGAAAGCAGTCTGACAATATCTTTCAAATTTTCAAATATACATACTCTTTGAGCCAGAAAGGCCTCCTCTAGGAAGCTATCCTGCAGATGTAACTACATATGTATAAAATGACACACATACAAGAGAATACTTCAGAGCATTGTTCAGAATAGCAAAAGATTAGAAACATCCATGGATCCATCACAAGGACGGCAAAGCCATGACACAACTACACAACAACATTCTATGCAGTTGTAAAAAGAAATTAATGAGGAAACTCTCTATGCGCAAACATGGAAATATCTCCAGTATACATTGATAAGTAAACAATAAAGCAAGATTCAATACTAGGTTCATTAGAGGAAAGGGGGGAAAATAAGAATATATGCTAACTTCTTAGCTTGTATTTATATAAGGAAACACTAGAAAGATATATACGAACCAATAAAAATAGATCTTTGCTTGAGGACGGGAAGGAATGTGGTGTATGGAGATAGGATGGAAATGAGAATTCTCAACGTCTATCTTTTTACATCATTTTAAATTTTGAAATATACGAACACTTCAGCTATTTTTTAAATAAATATAAAAGAATTGTTCATAGATTACCTCACACTCACCCTTCTGAACAGCTGAATTCTATTTGTGATCCAAAAGATAAATCTGTCTTAATCTCTACTTGCCCATTACGTAACTCTCCTGGGTGTCTGCATCGTTTGTCTGGGAGAAAAATTTAAATGATGATTAGTACTTCCAAGTACTCACAGATATGGCATTAGAAAAGAAAAGAAATTAACCAAGGTTCACCTCTGCTTCCAGAAACACAGAGAGATTTAGATTCAAACTTATTTCTAACCCTGACTCACCTCAAAATTAATACAAAATTTGATCACCTTTTTTTCTGGTACATTTTACCAATAGAGAAAAATGACCAGTTAAATAATTGCAGCAGCAGAACACGTGGTCCAGGACTTAATAAGCTGACCAGGGACGGGAGAGCTTTGCTTCATTCTATGTCTATGGCATGTACTTAGAACCTAGGCCACTAAAAAATGCATGTCACAAAAGGAACAAAAAAGAGAAAGTATTGATTGTATACCCCTGCTATTGGAAAACATCACAGAATGCATTCCCAACTGACAGTGAATTATAACTTTTCTTCAAAACACAGCAAATATTTTGAGTGAGGTTCTTTTGAAAACTGCATTGCCTCTTTCTAGCCACCTACCTTTTTTATAATTTTTTAAAAAGTGAATCTGATTTTCAATAGATCATAATGAAATTTGTGGTTCTTTTCTTGAAAGAAGTGTTTGGTGGATTACTTTATAAAGAATAGACTTCTAACCAGGCCCAGTGGCTCATACCTGTAATATCAGCACTTTGGGAAGCCGAGGCAGGCAGATCACTTGAGGTCAGGAGTTTGAGACCAGTCTAGCCAATATGGTGAAACCCTGTATCTACTTAAAACAGAAAAATTAACCAGGTGTGGTGGTGCACGCCTGTAATTCCAGCTACTCAGGAGGCTGAGGCAGGAGAGTCACTTGAAACCAGGAGGCAGAGGTTGCAGGGAGCCAAGATTCCACCACTGCACTCCAGCCTGGGAGACAGAGCTAGACTCTGTCTCAAAAAAAAAAAAAAAAAAAAAAAAAAGAACAGAGTTATTTTTCAATGCAATTAACTACCCCTAATTTTTCTGTTTTGCTTTTTCAAAAAATGCCACAAGTATGTACATTGAAATCAGTAATTGACAAACTGTCTTCTTGGTGACTAAAGATTCAGAAAATTTAGTTTCTGAGACAACTTTCCAAAGATAGGAAAAGCAAAGGAAAAAAATAAATGTTGATACTTACAGATACAGAAGGTGTTATACACCCATTCGCCATCAGAATTACAGGTAAGCGTCTGAGTTGAATGGGATCTGACGTAGCCAGGGAGGCAGGTGTATTTCAGAGTAGTTCCAGTTTTGAAGCGTGTCTCAGTCAACGTAATATCCATCGGGGCAGCAAATGATAAAGTGGGTGGAGGACCACAATTGCCTGGACACCAAAATGAGAAGGAGCACCAAAACTTATACCTTGGGACACAGCATCTTATTGTTTCTGAAGTGTGATGTTTAGAGCAGGGATCGTTCTTTTCAAGAATGATCTCTAGTCAAGAAAAATCATAACTCCTATTATACTCTCTGTTCAATACACCTAGTGAGTGATCAGTAATATATATTTGTTCACAAATGATAATGACAATGATAACAATAAACAATAATGATAAAAGGCAGAATTTTTTTCCCTTCTCTGCTACATATGGGATAATTTATCTGAAAAAGAAGAAAGACATGAACTTCACCAACCTGACTCCCCATATCTGCTGACTCAAATGCATCTGTGCAAAGTCAGAAGTCACTACAAGTTGCCTCAACAGAAACATATTATTGTATTCAAATAACATTATATAACTTTGGTTGCCTCAGGGAAGGGAAACAGGGTGGCTGGGAAATGGGTAAAAATAACATTTTTAATTTATTTTTTTTACATCTGTTTGATTTTGAATGATATGGAGGAAGAAGCATGGAGCCCTTGAAGCATAAAAATCTTAACTTTGCTTTTTTTGCAAGAATTAAGTACCAGGCTGATTTACTTTTTAAGCACCCCCTGAATAAACCCACAAACAGTGAAAATTGTTTAGTCATAGTAATAGATAATATAGATCTGTCCATATTATCATCCATATAGATGGTTGGGAGAGAAATTCTTTCCTGGAGAAATAAAAATCTAGGGGAAAGTGTCTATAACACTATTTCCTTTATGTGTAAAGCAAATTTCCCTAAGTTCTAGCCTGTCAAATAAACCACTTGTTGATGAAGCTGGGTCTCTGCTAGAAGCTCAGTCATCATTTTTTTTAGCCTTAAAAGTGAATGCACAGATGATCTTCATTGTTTGTTGCTGATTTGAGCTTGTTTCCCACTACTCACCAAGAACAGCAGGCAACAGAGCAGCGATCAAGGTCATTTGGAAGAGAATTGGATCAGAGACTTTCCACAGCCTGGAGAAGGGCCAGGCTGCCATTTTCCTTTTTCTATGAAGAGCCCCAGATGGAGTTTTTGGGGGGTGCATGGCCTGCTGCTTCGCTGATGTTTTTCTGCTGAAAGAACTCAATTTAATAAATAGTCATTGAATTCCAACTTGTCATAAAGCACTAGAATAAATGTTATGGGATCCATGTCTTCAAGGAAATGACAGCCTGGAGTGGAAACAAAACAAAAAAACCCCTGAGCACAAATGTTACAGCACAAGACAGTAAGGATTGGCCTCTGCAGAAGCTGTGAGCTCAGAAGAGAGATTGATTCCAAGTGGAGGGAGGGAGTGGGCTTTGCAGAGGAGACTGCATCTGCACTAGGTATACTGAAGACACTGCAGAATGGATGCAGGGCATGTTGAGGGAACAATAGATAATATTCCAATTTGGCTGAATGTCTGAGATGGGGAAGGGACAGTTTACAGATGTGTCTGAGTGGGATGTAAACGTCAAGTTTAGGAAATTCATAGACTTTACTCCTTGGGGAATAAAAGTGCTTGTTTTTGATGTGAATGTTTGTTTTTAAGCTGAGGAATGACATAATTATTATGCTTTAAGATCATTATGGCAGACATGCACAAGATAAATTAAAGGGATTAGAGGAAAGAAACAGGGAGGTTGAGTGAGAAGACTTGCAATTGGCCAGATGATCTAACAAAGAAATGACAGAGGACTTAAAAGAAAGGTACAAACATAAAAAAAAAAAAAAAAAACAAAAAGGCAGGAAAATGATGGGATAGAGAGAAAGAGTTGAGTCGCCGTATAGAAGTATTGGGAGTTCCTTGTGAGAACTATTGACAAAGGCAATAAACCATGAAGCAATTTGCAGTTTTGAAAAATGATCATAAACACACACACACACATATATATATATGAAAAATATACATGGCAAATGCACTTTTATTTTTAAATCAGACTATATAGACTTGTTTAAAGCAAAATTAGTAAGGACTTTTTTTTTTAATCTTCATCACCACTTCCCATTCCCTTTGGAGAACACAACATATCCTAAGTTTGTGTTAGGAAAAAGTCCCTTTCCTTTGGGTAGATACTCAATAGTGGGAATCAAAGGGGAGTTCTATTTTTAGTTTTTTAAGAAATCTCTGTACTGTAAATCTATAAAAATAAAAAATTAAGAAAAGAAATAGTCCTTGTCTTCAAAGGAATATATGAAGTTAACCAAATTCACTCCCATAAAATAGTGAATTTCATCCTTTACTTTGACATCTTTGTTAGATCCAGATGGTTGGACGCTCTCGTGCATCCATAATTCATACAAAGCCCATATACATTTAGGTAAAGGGAGTCCCTTCAATCAATATTTCTCCCCAAGATGTTTCAGTCCCACATAATGTAGGACTGTAATGTAATGTATATCTAAGGTAATGTTCAGTCCCTCAACATAAAGCTGGTCTCAGTAATATGGGCCAGTCTTACATAATGTGGGACTGAAACATCTTGGAGAGAAACTGTGTGGGAGAAGGGAAGTTTATAGTGCCCTTCATTCTTTGTGGGGTCTAATTTCTTCATTGAGTAAAGACTCACATAAGCTTCTTCTCTTTCTAAAACTTAGTTCTGATGAAGCCATCCCTCCACCTGTTGTCAGCTGTGGGAACCCCATGTCACACACGTCCTGTCCCATGAGCTCTATACATCCCCACCGGGGCAATTCTGCCAATACGTAAATTCACCTAACGAGCAATTTACCAGTTGTAGTCACTTACTGGAAATGTGTTCACAGACTTTGTACTGAATGAATCCAGGTGGTCTAGAGAGGTTGGGAGGAGCCAGGACCAACATTCTGGGACTTCATACTTCCCCTTTCTACTCAGTTTCCCCCTCTTTTTTCCCATTATCCTCCTTCCTAACTCTATGCTCCTCTCTGCCCTCACAATCTTGTGAAGCTGGAGACAGCTGAGAGCCAGGCAGGTTGCATATCATGAAAACCACCTCACTCATCATCTGTGAAATTCATAAAATGTGACAAATTTCTCCCACCCAATAAGATATGTTATGAACTATGAAAACTATGGGAAAAAGTTTCTTCAATTTTTGACAATGAGTAGATTTGTTGTGTTTATTGAATTTCAGTGAAATTGAAGAAAGAGATTAAAAACACCAGTGGGGTGGCAAAATAGAATTGACTATGAAAAATCAAAAGGATAAGAGTAGAAAGTGGAAATTTCCCCTAGGAATTGTTGCAGTTGTTATTACATTCACAAGAAAAATATATATGTTGAATATGTTCAGAAAAATATTCATGACTATATTTACAAAAATACAACCATAAGATTAAATCATTAGCTTCAAGAAGTTGAACAAAAATATCTTAAATGCCACTAAAATATGTATTCATTAGCTACATTCAAAAAGGATATATTTATACTCATTGAATACTCAAAATGATTTCTTTTTCTTTTTCTTTTCTAAAATTGTAATAGAGATGTGATCTTACTATGTTGCCCAGGCTGGTCTCAAACTCCTGGCCTCAAGCAATTCTCCCGCCTCGGCCTCCCAAAGTGCTGGGATTACAGGCATAAGCCACCATGCCTGGCCTCCAAAATGAATGTTTCTTGAAACAATGTTAGATAAATTGATACTTTGATAAATTCAGCAAATTTATTTCTATGAACTGATCCTTCAAGTACTGGCATTCACTCAATTGGCTTTGATGACTAACTTTTCGGTATTGTGGTCTGACCCCTTAGGCTCCAGCTATCCTGGACAACCAGAATTCCTTACCATTCCCAGCACTTTCCTATCTCCCATTCCTGTCCACATCATCTACCCTCTCTCTTTTTCCTCTTTAATTCCTACTCATTCTGCCAGTCCCTTCTCCAGCATTCCCTCCTATCCAAGCAAGCCTCCACATACCAAGTACAATTTTGTATTTATAACTCTGATTCGGACTTGGTCTGTAACTCACATCTGAAGTCTGCCTTCACCACTAAACCACAAGATCCTTGAAATGACAGAGTATGCTCCCATTTATTTCTGCCCCACAATAGTACCTAGCCTGCGCCTCATGAAGTTAAAGTGCTCACAAAATGTGCATTGAATTTAAATCCAAAAGCTCCTAGTGATAACGTGTGTTCCAAAGAAAAGTAGTACTGTGCCATATCAGTGTCTCCCCTTACAGTGTATGCTTTGTTAAGGACTGATTTTACCTGATTTTAAAGCAAGGCAAACACCTGTATTTTAATGAGAACTGGCCCAAATAATTTTACTCTAGGCTCTTCCATTCTTAAACTGAAGTCATCATATCATCAACTAGTCAAGGGAGGACAGTGAAGGAGGGAAGCAGTAGGCAAAAACTGGTTCTCCTCCTTCCACAGGTTATGACAGGAGATACAGACAAATGCAGACCCTACACTGTGATGAGGAAGTTATTTCACTCCCTTTACTTCATCCTCACACCTAGGCCATGGCCACAGAGCTGGGGACAGAGGAGGACAGTGTGGCCAAGACCTTGGGCATGGGCTCTGGAGTCACACCCAGAACATGTGAGTTGGCGTCCTGGCTCTACCACATGGGAACCGAGTCCCATGGACAAAACACTCAGTTCCTCTAAGCCTCAGTTTCCTTTATTATAAAATAAGAAGGATAACTGTAATTATATCTCGGAATTTCTGAGAGGGGCTTGGCATGGTGTGTGGACAGCACATAGTAAACATTCAAAAGAAATTA
This sequence comes from Homo sapiens, assembly GCF_000001405.40. Classification (NCBI taxonomy): domain Eukaryota; kingdom Metazoa; phylum Chordata; class Mammalia; order Primates; family Hominidae; genus Homo; species Homo sapiens. Next base: position 207,109,376 of record NC_000001.11, on the reverse strand, counting down.
TAGGGAAGAGTTTCATAGAATTGGCATTGGAATGTCACTCTGTCAGAAGCCAAACTCCTGGATGTCAAAACATTGTCATCATAATGATTTAAAATTGCAATAAATGGTTGCATCACCAGGGACTTTAATTACACCCCAGTGCAGAGGAGCATCCACTGAACTTCCGGCTAGAAGCCCTGGATCTGGTCTCCACTGTGGCCTTTGGTACAGTGAGATCTAATGTGTCATGCACAGCAGAGGAATGCTGGGGCCTCTGGGGCTGTCCTGGGGCTTTGTCTTCCCTTGCCCTCAACTATCTTCCTGAAAGGAAGTCATCCACATCCATAACTTTAATCATCATACCTGAATCACCCACAGGTCAGACGCGGTAGCTCACGCCTGTAATCCCAGCACTTTGGGAGGCTGAGGCGGGCAGATCACGAGGTCAGGAGTTCAAGACCGGCCTGACTAACATGGTGAAACCCCGTCTCTACTAAAAATACAAAAATTAGCTGGGTGTGGTGGTGCACGCCTGTAATCCCAGCTACTCAGGAGGCTGAGGCAGGTTAATCGCTTGAACCCGGGAGGCAAAGGTTACAGTGATCCGAGATCACACCACTGCACTCCAGCCTGGGCGACAGAGAGACTCCGTCTCAAAAATAAATAAATAAATAAAATGAATCACCCACAGACCTCTGGGCCTAATTGTCTCTGGTTCATGCAAAAACTTCCATGCTCCATAAATTCAATTGTTAATAATTATTTTATTCTGTCTTATTCCTTCCTCCGTGTAAGTTTTAAGCTATTCAGGCTTGTCTTCTTTACTCTGGTTGCTAACTAGTTAAATTCTGGTGCTCAAATTACGTCTTTCTAAAGGCAATGAAATAAATCTCTGTAAAATAAGGAGGAACTCTTTTCCTCTGCAGCTGCAAAAAAGCAGATGATAATCTACGTGACAAAACTGACCTTGCAAATGTTTTTTCTAACAAAGGAGTCGTTCCTGGATTTTAGAGATTGCTCTGCCACATGACAGTAATTTTAACCTCAGAAAAGTGTAATTCTGACTGGTTATCTTAGTGAATTTTTTTTTCTGGAATAATATTTAAATAAACATTTCTGTTTACTGAAAGTTATAAGTGCTTGTGAGTTTTCCTTGCCAAATCCAGAAATAATTATTACACTTTCCTCTTTATCTGCAAACTTGAAAGTAAACTAAAACTTTTTGACTCTGTTAGATTTCTCATTTAAGCAAATAATAATAATAATAATAATTTAAGTTAAAATTCCCAAGGTTCAAATCAATATTTCCAATCACTTCATTTGTATCTCCCAGGCACCTTGAATTTAACATGTTTCAAACTAAATTCACTATGTTCCTCCAACACTACTTAATATCTGTGCTTTCTGTCTCAGTGAAGGTGACAATCTCCACCCAGCCTCCCAGACTAGAAATCCAAGTCATTATTGCCTCCTCTGTCTCACCTCCTTGCACTATTCAGAGTCGTCAAGTCCTATCAAGTTGGTCATAGCAGCTGCACCAGAATCTGCCACTCTCTCCAACACTCCACTTCCATAGTCCAGGTTTAGGTTCCTATAATTCCCTTCCCCTCACCCTAGACCACTGCAAAAGCCTTCAAACATTTATAAGCCAGCTTCCATGTTGATGCCATTATGTCCCTAAAAAGCAATTTATGTGTTGTTACTCTGCTTAAAAACATTCATGGTTCCCAGTTTCCATAGGTTCCCCTATCTGTCCCAGTTTTCCCATCATTTCTCACTTAGAACACCATGCTTCAGTCTCAAGGAGGCACTTACCCTTCCCCAAAAACATTCTGGATTTCTTTTTTGAGACAGGGTCTCACTCTGTGTCACCCAAGCTGGAGTGAAGTGGTGCAATCACAGCTCACTGCAGCCTCAACCTCCTGGACTCGAATGATGCTCCCACCTCAGTCTCCCCAGTAGCTGGGACCACAGGAGCGTGCCATCACACCCAGCTAATTTTTTAATTTTTTGTAAAGACAGGGGTCTCACTATGTTGCTCAAGCTGGTCTTGAACTCCTGGCCTCAAGTGAACCTCCCACCTCGGCCTCCCAAAGTGCTGGAATTATAGGCGTGAGCCACCATACAAAGCCAGGATTTTTTTAAAAAACACCTGCAAGCATTTGCAGTTAATGTCTCCCATGCATTAATGCTCTTACCTCCAACTTCTCCTTTACTCACTATTCCTTTACTCACTATTCAGATCAAATGTCACCTCCTTGGTGAAGCATTGCCTGACTTCATCATGAAATGCCAGTGTTTTCTGTTCTTCTAGTACTTGGCTAATACCTTAATTGTAGCATTGTTTTGTATCCTAACTATCTATTTGCTTTTGCCTCCCGAAATACATTGTGAATTCCTTGAAGACAAGGAAGGTGTTTATTCAACTTTCCATCTCTAACGTGGTATTGTAATTGGTCTATATAACCCCGTGACTCCTTTGTTAAAAAAAAACATTTGCAAGGTCAGTTTTATCACGCAGATTATCATCTGCTTTTTTGCAGATGCAGAGGAAGAGAAAAGAGTTCCTCCTTATTTCGCAGAGATTTCTTTCACTGCCTTTAGAAAGACCTAATTTGAGCACCAGAATTTAACTAGCTTAAAACTTACACAGAGGAGGCCGGGTGCAGTGGCTCACGCCTGTAATCCCAGCACTTTGGGAGGCCAAGGCAGGCAGATCACGAGGTCAGGAAGTCGAGACCATCCTGGCTAACACGGTGAAACCCTGTCTCTACTAAAAAGACAAAAAATTAGCTGGGCGTGGTGGCGGGCGCCTGTAGTCCCAGCTACTCGGGAGGCTGAGGCAGGAGAATGGCCTGTGAACCCGGGAGACGGAGCTTGCAGTGAGCAGAGATTGCACCACCGCACTCCAGTCTGGGCAACAAAGCGAGACTCCGTTTCAAAAAAAAAAAAAAAACTTACACGGAGGAAGGAATAAGACAGAATAAACAATAATAAATCTAAAAGGAATGAAAGTCAATTTAATTTTATCTTTAGAATGAGAATGACTGTCTCACTGAGGACCAAATGAAATAATGTGTGTGAAATGCTTTGTCAGTTTTGAAGAGAGATAATACAGTGACTAGACTTCCCTAACAAACCATCAGGATGCATCCTAACTCTTCTCCAACTACGGCATTTGCAGTTCACCATAACTACTCCTGGTGGTCCCTCAGCAGAAACCAGCTGGCCACAGAGTATGGGAATGGAGGCTAGAACTTGCGAGCTGAGAAGACACAAGTTGGAGTTCCAGCAATACCACAGTCTAAGTCTGTGATCTTGAAGAAGCTATATCAGCTTCTTGGATATCAGTTCCCTCCATCTCTAAAATAATGACATTAAACCTAGATGAACAAATTCTGCAATTCTGTAACTGCTCACTGAAAAGCTGAGACTACTCTAGCCAACTTTCATATTTCAAGGACTTCACCTTTTAAATTCCTGCAGAAATGGAACCAACTCAAGAACTTTAGTCAGCATGGCGGGTCCCTTGTGAAAAATAATATCAGCACTTAGCAATGCAGTGCAATTTGAGAGTCACTGGAAAAATCTTTAGTCCTCAAATTTCTCCTTCCATGAGAAGTTACTTTTTAAGTTAATATTTATTTTGTCTAACTTCCCCCTTTTAAAATGCAGATACCTTGTGAAAGGATAGTATTTTTCTCCAGTCTCGGGCTGAGTGTCTTCTTCCTTATACCTGGGCTCTCAATTATATCACTTACAAACTCCAGAAAGAACTGGCTCCCACACTTTCCCCACCCTTCCTAGAATCTCTTTTTTTTTTCTTTTTTTTTTTTTTTTGAGGTGGAGTTTCACTCTTGTTGCCCAGACTAGAGTGCAATGGCACGATCTCAGCTCACCCCAACCTCTGCCTCCCTGGTTCAAATGATCCTCCTGCCTCAGCCTCCCAAGTAGCTGGGATTACAGACATGTGCCACCATGCCTGGCTAATTTTGTAATTTTAGTAGAGACAGGGGTTCTCCATGTTGGTCAGGCTGGTCTCGAACTCCCGACCTCAGGTGATCCGCCAGCCTCGGCCTCCCAAAGTGCTGGGATTACAGGAGTGAGCCACCGTACCTGGCCAAATCTCTTTATTTTTCTATCAGCCCCTTTATTCTGTGCTCATACTACATTCAAACATATCTCTAAGCTTAATGCCAACCTTCTTTGATGCTTCTGCCTCTTCTGTAGTCTACTTTTTATTCTTTTGGTGTTACCATATTTAGAGATAGAATAGGAATCAGCAAAGAGACAAGTGGTTGAAGAATTAAAATGAGGACCAGAATGGTACTGTATCCTGGCCAACCAAGGAAGAAGAGAATTTCAAGAAGGAAGGGTTATCAGCATCGTCAAATTCAGAAAGTAAAGAAGATGAGGACGACTAAGACTGCTAGCTTCAGAAACCAACTGGAGGCTGGCCAGTGTCCTCCTTATTACCAAATCTAAACATCTTTGCTGTCAGTGGTGGAGGAGATTTGGAGTGGTTAATCAAATCTCAAAATAGAAATGGCCCCAGTTTTCAGAATGTAGACTAAGAAAAGCAAGCTTCCTGTGAACCCTTTGAAAAGTCTGATTGACCCCTTGCCTCAACTCTGATGTGGGAAGGTGGTGAAAGATCAACAAACCAACACATCTGTCTTTTAGATACAGTAACAAGAGCAACACCTTACACCTCTTCTTCTTTAGCTTATTTTATTAGAATGCAATATTATTCCTCCATTTATAATTTTTAAAACTTGAGGTTCAGATAGGGTTTAAAGTACGTCTCAAGTCTTACATCCCCCTAATACAGTGCTCCTGAAAAGATTTCTGCTGAAAACACCTCCAAGCTTTTGTCTCTGTTTTATCCTTCTAATCCTGCACTCCTTAAAGGGCCAAACCACCAGCCTTTCCTCCAAGCTTCCCCAAGGGTTTAGTAGTCCACCGACCTTTGGTAGTTGAGGAAGAGCAGAAGACTCTATGATGATATCTGGGATAGTTTCTCAAAGAAGAAAACTGCCTTGATCTATGTAGTCCTGGTTCCTCCCCAGATCAGAGTTTATCATAATACCCTGAAGTTGACTGGTAATTGCTCCACCAAAGAGTCCCTGAATTTCAGCCATGTGGTTGGCTGGTCAAGGACGGTTGATGGAAATAGATGGGCAGAAACTTTTGACGGGCCCAATGAATGATTAACAGCAGAAATAAAGCAGCACTGTTTACCTAAGCTCCTTCCTCTTTGCTAGTCCTCATTCTTCGTAACATGTCGCAATCGTTTATTTTCTCCTCTGCCAACCATTTCCCCTAAGTGGAAAGGTAATTTGAATTTGAAGCCAGAATTCTTTTTTCTTTTCATAAACACATAAGGGTTATGGCAAGACACAGTCCAGCTAGCCTGGAAACCTTGGATACTGCGAGGTTCAGAGAGCCTCCGCAAAAATGATCCACTTTCCATGACACTAGGTCCAGTATGCTTTCCTGGAGTTTGAAAACTGATATTCTTGCCCAGAGCTCGTCTCTATCCCACCCCAAGGAATTACAAAAGGTGGGGAATTTATCAAACATGCATTGGGTTTCCACTATGTGCTGAGTTATCTAGAACGTATTTGGAGTTCAGCAAATGTTAACTGCTACTACATGTCAGGCACCAGAGGGCCTCCAAAAATTGATCTATCCAGTGCGCTCAGAAGAACGCAATGAAGGACCGGCCATGTTTCCTCTCGCATAGATCTAAAAAGACCACAAGCACTTACATAGTCCAATTAAGCTACTAATCCTCAAGGTTAAGATTTGTGTGCTCAGAAGATTGCTATTAAAAGGCAATTCTTTCTGAGAACTTCACTTTTTCTGTAATAAATACTGAAAGTCCCAGAAGAGTTTCAGAAAAGGAACTAAACTACAACAGGTTGAGTTAATCAAGGAAGTTTCTACAGAAGATGTGAGATTTGGATAAAAGGTAGAAATTATTAGATAAAAGTGGTAAGGATATTAGATGTAAAGAAACCATGCGCTAGGTCACCAAGGTGAGACACTGATTTGACCAGAATGAAGATAGAGGAGGATTCCAGATTGCACAGTCTTGAGACTAAATTGGAAGAAATATCACCTTTAAAGCTGCTATTTCTTTAAAGTACCGTTTTCCAATGTATTGAAGTCCTTTCGTTTACTTTCCACAGTGACTCTTGCAGATTTTTCTCTCCAGGTCACCAAATTGTCACATTCCCTCTCAGCAGATGCTCTTACCTCCTACTTTACTAAAAATCATTCTACCTTAGCTTCATCAATGTCAAATTTTCCCTCCTATTCACTCCTCATTCCGAGGAGAATTGTTTCTTCTTTTCCTGCCTCATTTTCAATGCATCTCTCATCCTGAAATGTCCCTTCAATTTTGCCAATACCTCAAATTCCACCTTTCTTCTTTAGTGTGATGCTGAACTTCTCAAAGGTGTGACTTGTTCTACCTGCCTGTTCTTTCTCATTCATCACTCCACCTGTTGCTTTCCCATCTGGCTTCTACCACTCTTCTACTGACATGTCTCTCTGAGGCACGCCCTTAGGTCCAAGTCCAAAATATCTTTAATTCATTTCTTAGGATCTGTCTGCAGCCTTTGTCACTGCTGATCATTTCCTTTCTGAAACTCTCTTCTCCTTTGGCTTCCATGACACTAAACTTACCTGATTCCCTTAACTTAACTAATTTCTCTTTCTTAGTTACTGTTACCTTCTCTTCCTCCTTCTCATTCCTAAATATAGATATATCTCAGGCTCTTCTTTTTTTAAAAAAATTATCTTCGCAATTTTAATGATCTTGCCTTCTGTCACAGCTTTAACTATTACCAGTAAGAAGACTAGCCAGCACTACATTATTATTTCTGATTACTCTCCGAAACTCAAGACTTACTTTCTTAGGTTTTGTTTTTTTTTTCCCCCCACTGGACATCTTGCAAGCACTTCACCCTCAGCACATCCAAAGAGGAATTTCTCATTTCCGGCCAACAAGCTTCACTTTCTGACCCCAGCTTTTTCTGACCTCTGGTTCTCGGGAATAAAATTTCAGATTCACTTTTGAACTCTTCCTCTCCCTCACCCTTCAATGTTTGATTAGTTGACAGGTTGTTTTGATACAAGTTTTCAATATCTCTCGTGTCTGCTGCTGCTTTTTCATTTCTGCTGCCACCAAACCAGTTCAGGTTGATAATGCCTCCCATATGGACTATTGTAGGAGTCCTTTCGTTGGTTTCTCTTAGTTCTTTTCCCTCATCAACCAATACTACAACCAACATTGTGAGAGAAATCTTTCTTTATGTTCTGTCCTTATTACTTCATTGTTTGCAAGGCTTCCATGTCTTCATGGTCTGACTGCCAAAAAACAAATGTATATTCTCTGCCTACCAAAAACAAGTGTATATTCTCTAGCACGTCATTCAAAAGCCTCCATAAACTGGCTTTGACTTATCTTTCCAGCCACCTTCTCTCTCACCAATTTCCATGCTTCATCTAGGCCAGTCCAGGCTATGTGCAAGTTCCTAAACATATCCCATTTTTTCTGCCTCTGTGCAATGCCTTCTAAAATTATTATTAGAAATTCATTTTACAACATTAAAAAGTTTTAAGAGAATAAACACTTATAATTTCATATTCTAAGACAAATGTTTTTATCTGTGCCTATTATTGTCTAATCCTTTCCCACAAGAATAAAGGTTTTACATAAATGCAATCATAAGCCCTTGTTATTAAATATTCTATTTTTACTTAAGATTGTATTTTTAAGATTTTCTACTTCCTCATATTTATCACCATATAGGTCTGCATTACATTTAAAGTACCATAATTTATTCAAAATTTTCCTAAGAGTAGACATTTCAAATGCTCATAAGATCCTCCTAGATAGATAATATGTACAAATAAGAAGTAGCTTCAATTTCAAATCATTTTCCTCCAGTTAGATTAATCCTAGGAATGAATTTACTTGGTTAAAAATCTTATTATTGGCCAGGCGTGGTAGCTCATGCTTGTAATCCCAGCACTTTGGGAGGCCGAGGCGGGCAGATCACCTGAGGTCAGGAGTTCGAGACAGCCTGACCAACATAGGGAAACCCCGTCTCTACTAAAAATACAAAATTAGCCGGGCATGGTGGCGCATGCCTGTAATCCCAGCTACTCAGGAGGCAGAGGCAGGAGAATCGCTTGAACCCAGGAGGCAGAGGTTGTGGTGAGCTGAGATCACGCCATTGCACTCTAGCCTGGGCAACAAGAGCGAAACTCCATCTCAAAAAAAAAAATTGGTTTTAAATCTTATTATTGTCTTACTCCATTTCTCAAATATTCTTTCCAACTGGAATGAGCTCTTTAATCTTTGTCTCTAATTCTCACTTACTTTTGAAGGCCCAAATAACTGTGACTTCTTCCTTGACAATATTCCTGCCTCCTCCTCCCAGACAGAAGTGAACCTCCTCTCATCTGAGCTCTCATAGCCCACTGTTGTCTGAAAATGTTTAGTTCATTCTAACCACTCTAAAATAATGCTACGTGTGTACATGTCTTGTGCCTATTAGTAGACTCTGGGGTACTCAAGAGTCCATCTCTTATTCCCCTTCATAACTTTACCTAGCGATTTTCCATTATTTCAAGCTGGCTTATATATTTTGGTTGCACTTTATCTAGATATCCTACGTGTTTCAGGTAGCAGTCAGGACGAGAGGTGGGAGAAGCTTGTCATGCCAGCTCAGTATGACATTTTGATTGAAAGCCTTAGGATTCTTATTTCTTCTACCCTCTAAAAAAGGAGAATTGTAAGTAAAAAATAATATAAAATTTTTGTTTCTAAAAAAGAGAAGAAATATATTCACTTGTGTTGCACCATCTCTAATTTATCATGCAGGACCAGGTTTCATTCAAGAGGCAGTAAGCAATTTTCCTGCAGCTTTGGAAACCTGTTTCCGTAAGCCAGATGTGGGCAAGACTGGGAGGAGAATTTGGGTCCTAGCTCTCCTTCTGTCCCAGTGGGTCATTTTTAAGGATGTAACTATTCTAAGCATCTTTTCCAAAATGGAAGGTTAATTTTTGCCTCATAAGTTGCGGTTAGTTTTGGTTTCATAATTCATGGTCTCATGTTAAAATACGAGTTACTCTCTCGGCTGAGATCAGAGTTTTCCATTCTCCTTACAGACTGGAAATTAAGCCCTCTATTCTCCAATAATATGTTGCTAATTCTGGCCTTAGACAACCACTACATTTGGCCTTTTCACATTCTGAGAACAACACACACACACACACACACACACATACACACACACACACACACACACACACACACACACACACATGGTGCATTATACAACTGCTGTTGGCAATTTCAGCCCAATAAGAGGTAAATCTGAAACCAATTTCAGAACCAAGAAGAAAATTTATTCATAGGTTTATTTCTATTACATCTGCTCAGCTGTAGTGTTACAACAATTTTGCCTTCAACTCAGCTTTCTTCAGCTCCAGAGAATATTTTAGCTCCTCCATTGTCATGCCACTTTCCTTTAATTGTTGCATAAAGTTCTCCATGGCTTCGCAGAGGTTCTTACTCTCCTGAAAGGCAAGCTGAAGAAAGAAAATTTTTCACAAGTTACAACATAAGGACTGAGACCCAGCTATATACTCTGAAGCCAGTGAGCAGCAGTTAGCTCTCTGAATGGGGGCTCAGAACCAGGCTAGCTTAAGTAAAGATTTGGGTTTTCAACATGGCAAATCATTTATATTTTCTGGCTTAAATATACTTATTAATATTATCCCAGTAATAAATATGAACTAAAAGAAGAATCTCAATGAAAATGGATCTGTTCAGTGTTGTTTGTTTAGTTTTGGAGCCTAGAAGAATTTTAGAGACTTTTCCAATTCTCACGCATTGTGCTTATGTGCTTTGCTCTATAACAGGGATCCCCAACCCCAGGGCCACAGACCGGTACCGGTCCACGGACTATTAGGAACTGGGCCACACAGCAGAAAGTGAGCAGCGGGCAGGCAAGCAAAGCTTCAGCTGTATTTATAGCCACTCTGCTTTGCTCACATTGCTGCCTGAGCTCCACCTCCTGTCAGGTCAGAGGTGGCATTAGATTCTCATAAGAGCGTGAAACCTATTGTGAACTGCTCATGCGAGGGATCTAGGTTGACCCCTCTTTATGAGAGTCTAATGCCTGGTAACCTGTCACTGTCTCCCATCACTCCCAGATGAGAATCTAGTGCCTGATGATCTGTCACTGTCTCCCATCACTCCCAGATGAGAATCTAATGCCTGATGATCTGTCACTGTCTCCCATCACTCCCAGATGAGAATCTAATGCCTGATGATCTGTCACTGTCTCCCATCACTCCCAGATGAGAATCTAATGCCTGATGATCTGTCACTGTCTCCCATCACTCCCAGATGAGATTCTAATGCCTGATGATCTGTCACTGTCTCTCATCATTCCCAGATGAGATTCTAATGTGTGATGATCTGTCACTGTCTCTCATCACTCCCAGATGAGAATCTAATGCCTGATGATCTGTCACTGTTTCCCAACACTCCCAGATGAGAATCTAATGCCTGATAATCTGTCAGTTTCCCATCACTCCTAACTAGATGGGACCCTCTAGTTGCAGGAAAACAAGCTCAGGGCTCCCACTGATTCTACATTATGGTGAGTTATATAATCATTTTATTATATATTACAATGTAATAATAATAGAAATAAAGTACACAATAAATGTAATGCATCTGAATCATCCCCAAACCATCCCCACTCTCCCCACCCCCATCCGTGGAAAAGTCATCTTCCATGATACCCATCCCTGGTGCCAAAAAGGTTGGGAACCACTGCTCTATAAGGCACATGAGACAACAACTTCTACCAACAGGGTCTCATGAGGTATTTGTGATGATGGTAGTGAATGGGAACTTCCAACTTCCATTTATAAAAATGTGAGTTAATAGTTTATGAGTCCCTTCTACAGCCAGGCCAAGGCCAACCCATTCAAAAGCAAAATGTCCCACATTAAACAGATATATACTGAGCATATGCCAGGAGTGATGCCAGGCCCTGGAGATCCAGCTGTGAACAAGACAGATATGAGCCTCCTACTTACAAGTGCCTTCTCACACTCTGGTTTGGGAGCTTCCTGGATCAACTTGCAGACTGGAAGTGCACTGCTCCACTCCCCATCAACGCATTGCTGCTCCTGCACGCCCACTAAGTAGTACCTGAACAGAAATTAGAACAAGGCTTAGCTTTTCCACTTTCTGAATTGGGTAATGGAGACTGGTTTTGTGTAGTTGTATTTCAGTATTTCATGCTGTGATGGAATCCACCTCCCTGCCCTTGAGCCTCAATGCATGCTTAAGTTATCTCGGTATTACAAAGCAGTTCAAAGTAAAACCATTTTCCTGGAGGTAGGAGAGGACCCAAGTGATGAGTCAACCCATAAAACATAGAGAAGTGAGAAATTCTGAATCAGGTGTTTACACACCCAGGTTTTGGGTGGGGAGAGTGATAGAAGCACTTTATCATTCAATAACCTAAAAAGGCATCTGGCATCTAAGCTCTAAAAAGGAGTAGAAAATGAGAGACACCTGCAAATAAATCTTAGCGAAGGGGCTAAAAAGGAGCAATTGCTTTTCATCAGAAAAATATGAGAGTTGCCTGCAAAGTGCATTGAAGGTATATAACGAGATCGAAATGCCAGTGAGGCCACATGACTCTGAGTTAATTAGGGGGCTTTAAGGGTCTATACACTAAGTCTTTATATTTCTGCACTTCTATGTTTGTTTTTTAGTATTTATATTCTCTGATTTTTTTTTTTTTTTTTTTTTAGAAAAACATACATTTTAGGCCAGGCACAGTGATTCATGTTTGTAATTCCAGCACTTTCCAGGACTTTGGGAAACCAAGGTGGGAGGATCACTTGAGCTCAGGAGTTCAAGACCAGCCTGAGCAACATAGGGAGACCCTGTCTCTACAAAACCTTAAAAAATTAGCCAAGCGTGGTGACCCATGCCTGTAGTCCCAGCTATTAGAGAGGCTGAGGTGGGAGGATCTCGTGAGCCTAGGAGGCAGAGGTTGCAGTGAGCTATGAGTACACCACTGCACTCCAGCCTGGGTGACAGAGGGAGACACTGTCTCAAAAATAACAACAACAAAAAAACAAAAAACCCATACATTTTATTTATTTATTTATTTTAAAACAGAGTATCACTTTTCCACCTGGGTTAAAGTGCAGTGGTGCCATCTAGGCTCACTGCAACCTCCGCCTCCTGGGTTCAAGCGATTCTCATGCCTCAGCCTCCTGAGTAGCTGGGATTACAGGAGTGTGCCACCACGCCCAGCTAATTTTTGTATTTTTAGTAGAGACAAGGGTTTTGCCATGTTGGCCAGGCTGGTCTTGATCTCCTGGCCTCAAGCAAACCGCCTGCCTTAGCATCCCAAAGTGCTGGGATTACAGGTGTGAGCCATCACGCCCAGCCAAATCCATTCATTTTAAATAATTTATCTTGTCTTGGCGGAGAGGAAAAAGAGATACTTGCATTGGGGTAAGTAGGATACTTTAGTAGGATCAGTCTGTCTTCTAGGGATTGAGGAGAGCTAGCAGAGGGCCAAAGCAGCTCTCAAAATCAGAATGAGCTTAGAATCCTGCAGCAGTAGGAAATCAGATGACCAGGTGGACACAGACTGGGTTATTCCCCAAAACAATGCTGCCAAGGGGCAAGATCTGGCATTTGACAGGCTGTGTTCACTTACCTGTCTTCACAGTAATAACTAATGGTGGATCCTAAGGTGAAGTTATTTCCTTCAAAATAGCCATGAACTGGATTCCCAGGAGGGTCACAGTCCCCTGAGAGAAACGAGTATAGAAGTCATAGTTATGAGGGCCAGGCACGCTCAATGAACAGCACCCCTAATTGCAGCTGTTTATGCCAGCACCTGACAGCCTCAGAGCAACACCTGCGCCAGCACCTGACATCCTCACAGCAACACCTGCGGGATCTGGAAACCTGTTCTTCATTCATTTCCTTCTCTTCTAAATCATATTTGTCCATGGGAAAGAGCTTTCCCCCAGCCCATCTTCTGAGTTAGTAGGGATTTGGGAGTATTATCTGACAGCAGGAGCTCAAGGAAAGAAATTTTAAGTTGTAGAGAAGCTAATTGTTAATGTACAAGAAAAGAAAAATTGGGCCATAGGTGAAGGCTGAAGAAATAACTCCCTGAGAGAGGAGATGAAGCGTGTGAGCTCAAGTGGAAGCTGACATCCCCTGTGGATAAGAGTTGTGAAACATGAGTGTATTAGTCCATCTCACATTGTGATACAGAAATACCTGAGACTGGGTAATTTATAAAGAAAAGAGGTTTAATTGGCTCACAGTTCTGCAGGCTGTACAGGAAACATGGTGCTGGCATCTGCTCGGCTTCTGGGGAGGCCTCGGAAAACTTACAATCATGGCAGAAGGCAAAGGGGGAGGGAGGCATCTCACATAACAGGTGCAGGAACGAGAGAGGGAGGAGGCGTTACACACTTTTAAACAACCAGATCTCATGAGAACTCACTCGCTGTCATGAGGACAGTACCTAGGGAGATGGTGCTAGACCATTCATGAGAAATCCACCCGCATGATCCAGTCACCTCCCACCAAGCACCACCTCCAACACTGGAGATTACAATTCAATATGAGATTTGAGCAGGAACACACATCCAAACTATATCAAAGAGAGTATCAGAAAAAGGGGAGAAGGTGGGAGCAGTGGCTCACACCTGTAATCCCAGCACTTTGGGAGGCTGAAGGGGGTGGATCACCTGAGGTCAGGAATTTGAGACCAGCCTGGCCAACATGGTGAAACCCAGTCTCTACTAAAAATACAAAAATTAGCCCAGCGTGGGTGCGCACCTGTAATCCCAGCTACTTGGGAGGCTGAGGCATGAGAACTGCTTGAACCTGGGAGGTGGAGGTTGCAGTGAGCCAAGATTCTGCCACTGCACTCCAGCCTGGGAAACAGAGCAAGACTCTGTCTCAAAAGAAAAAGAAATAGGGGAGAACATGGCTGGAAGGGAAGAGGACGAGTCTGTGGAACTGTGGAAAGAAAGCAGGATGACGTGTTAGGAGTTGTGAGTCTTGATACTGGCTCTTCCACTAGCTATGTAGCACTAAAGCCATTTTGCTCCTCTTGGCTTCCTTCCTAATATTATCAGATAAGCAGGTTAAATAATATCATCTCTAAGGTCCCAGTCAGCTCTGAGACCACAGGACACTAAACATGTCGATCAAAAATAGTGGCTAACAATGATTATGTGGGTGTATATTTACTGAAACATAAAAATCTTCTAAACAAATGGTTGAGTAAAAACAGCAGATGATGAAAGAGCATGTATAATATTATTTTTGTAAATCATGGTTACACATACATAAGCACAGGAAAAAAGTATGGAAAGTTATATGCCAAAATACTTAATGCCCTTATCCTTAGATGGCTTGTATGTAATTGGTTTCGTCTTTTATTTTCTATATTTTTCTACAACAAAGGTGTATTAATATTACTTATGCAGTTAATACACTGTAATTTTTTAAAGCTCAGAGACTGAGCTCAAAGGCTGAATAGAGGAAAGCAAGAAGAATTTCCAGGAGTTGTTTGGGGGATTCCAGTCCACCAGAGTTCTGGTAACTTTTATGAGTACAATTTTGAACGGAAGGAGATGATGTGGTAAACAGAATAAACAGAAAGAATCTGGTTTATTCAGAAACCTAGGGAGCTCATCCTAGATTTAGATAATGAAGTGACATAAAAAGACAGGGATCCTGTGGTTAAGAGCTAGGATAGAAACTACTGAATTAAAAGAGAGTAAACCAGAAAATGTTTGGAAGAAATAAGGAAATACTTTAAACTTGTGTCAAGCTAATGACATAAAATGCTATTATATGCATGTAATTTAACTGTATATATAATAGTATGTATGCAAGTTTTAAATAACCCCAAATTCCCTCATGTAAGAGCATATATAGTTTGTGCTCTTAAACTGCCTGTCTTTATTATTTCTTTTTCATTTTTTTTTTTTTAGAGACAGGCCTCACTGTGTTGTCTAGGCTGGCCTCAAATTTCTGGACTCAAGCTATCCTCCTGCCTTAGCTTCCCAAGTAGCTGGGACTGCAGGTATGCACTGCCACGCCTGGCTTTTATTATTTTAGTAGCTACTGCCAAAATACATCCAAATAGTGATAGCACTTTACACTCTCACTGACGTAAATGGCTATTTCCTCAGGTCATGAATAGTATTAAATTAAATCCATCTTTTCATTTTTTGCTAATCTGATCAGTAAAAGATGTATATCTAATTTTAATTTCCAGTTCTATAATCATTTGTAATGTTCAATATCCTTTCATATAATCAGGAGATAGAAGTGCTGTTTAGGGCCATTATTTTGGAATTGCCTGTCCTTACCCAACTGCTTATTTTCTATTGGGTTGTTTTTTTCCTTACTGATCTCTAGGGGATCTTTGTTTATTAAAAACATTAACTCTTTAACCATCAAATATGTTGCAAATACTTTATTCAATATGATGTCTTTTAGTATGTAGAAGTTTTTCTTTTAAAAATTTAATTAAATCTGCCCATTTTCTTCCTTTATGACTTCCTGAGTTTTATGAAACTGCTTAGGAAGGCTTTCCCCATCCCAATGTAATAAATATATTATCTCATGTTTTCTTTTAATGATTTAATAATTTTGCTTTCTATAGTTATATATTTAAAATCCATTTGGAATGTATTATGAATATGGTGTGAGCTAGAGCCCTAACTTTGTCTTCTTCCAAATAGATAATTATTCCATCACTATTGAATAGACTTTTCCTCCTGACTTAATCTGTTCTACTTATATGTACCTATACTTTGCTATTTTAATGATATATAATTTGTAGTACCTACAGTTTGCCATATTGTGCTCATAGTAACTTTGTAGTATTTTTTACTATCTAATACGGCAAGTATTCCTTTCCCTTTGATCCAGTCAAATGTATACATCATTCATCATTTTCCCAAAAATATTTACAATGTTAGATGTGTATCCTACTGGATGAGATTCTTTAATTAATGTTTTTTTCATATTTTTGAATTTAAAATCCTGGGAGGCATTGCACTGTAATAGTAAGTCTGCCCATCCAGGATCATGCATGTCTTTTCTTTCATTCAAGTCTTATTTTATATCTTTCAGTAAATTTTCATATAGATCTTGTGAATCGAATTATTTTTACATTTCAAATTCAACTAACAATTATTAATAGAAAATGAAAACATTGATTTTTTTCAATATTTATTTTGTGTCCAAGTATATATTAAATATTTTAGTAGACTTTCTTGGATATTTGAAGTATATTCTGCAAATAATAGCATCCTGTGATCCAGCAATCATTTTAGGAATCTATCCTATAGAAATAGCAATGTAGTAGCCTGGTGCGGTGGCTCACGCCTGTAATCCCAGCACTTTAGGAGGCCGAGGTGGGTGGATCACGAGATCAGGAGTTCAAGACCAGTCTGGCCAAGATGGTGAAACCCCGTCTCTACTAAAAATACAAAAATTAGCTGGGCGTGGTGGCAGGCACCTGTAACCCAGCTACTCGGGAGGCTGAGGCAGCAGAATCGCTAGAACCTGGGCAGCAGAGGTTGCAGTGAGCCGAGATCACACCACTGCACTCCAGCCTGGGCAATAGAGTAAGACTCCATCTCAAAAAAAAAAAAAAAAGAAAGAAAGAAATAACAACGTAGACATAAGAATATGTGTGTGTATAAAATATTCATTTCAGCATTGTTCCAAATATAAAAAATATTAAAATAATATGGGAGCCATATAATAAATTATGACATACACATATGCAGTTATTAAATAGCGGGCAATAGAGCTACATGGACTGGTGTAGGAAAGTGGCCATGTATATAGTTACATGAAAAAAAGCAATTTAAAAATATGTATAGCAAGTCCCTTTTCTATAGGTATATTTATATATATACATACACACAAAATGGCATTTAATGCTTATTTAATTTAAATATTTTATTTGTGTGTGTTTGTTTTAAATGTCTGTATAAACATAAGAAAAAGTCATGAAATAAACACACCCAATTTACTAACTCTGAGAGATATGAATTGTAGTGATAGAAAGAGGGTCTTTAGCCTCTTGTAGATAATTTTGCAATAGATGAGTTATGATCTTTTTCCCGTTTTGTGTTTACTTTTCAAACAAAGTCACTGTCTTGAAATTAAGAAATAAAATAGTCGATGCTCCAAACTACCCTACATTACACCTAGTAGGACAGGACCCCTATCTGAGAAGGAAAAATGTGTGCTTTGGATGCTGTTCATTGCAATGGAATGTATTCTCTTGAGGTGAGATTTGGTTCTGTGAGCTCCACTTGTTTCATGGCTGTCTGCTAGATCTTAAGCCTGTCTCTGATACAAAAAAAGAGAAAAGCATCCCAGGGATGTGGCAAATGTCTAAGTTTAGACTACTAATCAGTATTTTGGGGATCCTTGATGGTTTCTCTTGTACTTACTACTTTTGCAGATGGGAAAGGGAGGTGCCCAGGTGTGGTCCTCTAGACACTGGCTCCGATTGCTGCCCTTGAGGATGTAGTGGTCATTGCACATAAACGTGATTTTGTCACTTACATTCACAGGCCCTGAAGAACTGAACTCTCCATTCACCAGCACAGGATCAGGACAGTGGCCCACTGAAGAAGAAAATAAGCAATAAGCTGAAAGGGCAAAGCTGAAGCCCAACACAGCAAAGGCCAGACCTCCTCAGTCTTCAGTGAGAAAACAGCAAATTAGAGTTAATACTGCACATTTTTAATTGAGTGAAGTACATGGTACTACCATATCAATGCAGAATGAAAAAAAGAGGAGATTGACCTAAGTACAGCCCAAAAGAGCTTTGTCATGCACAAGAACAACATGAATTGGCAACTGAAAGTAATTAATCACGTAACTGAAAGTTACCAATCGTATGTTTATTGTACTGTTATATTAAGCATGGCTCAAAATAGTGAGACTATGTTTGAAGCAAGTATTTCCTTCCCTTTCAACCAGCCAAATATACACTTACTTAGCATTTTTTATTTTGTTGTGCTTTTTCCCATGGCATGGAAAAAAACAGGAGAGAATGCACAGGGATATATGAGTTTGGTTATATGAATGAAGGATAATAATATCGGTGTGCTCTACTCTAGGTATACAAGAGAACTAATGCAACTATTCTTTAAAAAATAATAGTAATAAATAGGATATGGATTAATTATTCCCCATCTCCACAGAGGATACCAGAAATGAGTTTTGTGACCTTGAGCAAGTCAGCTGGATCTCAATTATCACATTGGTAAACTGAGAATACAAACTATTCCCAGTTCAAAAGTTATATGATAGGTGAAATAAAATGATACAATGCACTTACTTCAAAATAATAAAGAGGATATACATGAAACAAGATTATCATGTGTGGATAATTGATGAAATTATGTGATGAGTCTATATGAGTGAATTTGACTCTTCTGTCGTTTGTATACATTTTAAATTTTCCATAACATAAACATTTTTAAAGCAATATAAGGTTAAACAAATTATAGCAAAAAAAAATTAGTTCTAATATCTGGAAGAAATTATTTCTTTCCCATAGAGGGAATTGATTCTGTTAATTCAACTGAATTAATACTGATCAAGATCTGATCATAGAGCTTCCAAGAGAAGCTCCTCCACTGGAGTGCTTTAAAAGAGGTCTCCTAGAAATTGAGAATTTTTGTTTTCTTATAAAGTTTTACCACAGCCTATAGGAAGTAGGATGTGAAGGAGTAAAACAGGATATCAATATGGGCAAAGATACAGAAAGATCTAACTTACAGCGGCACTCAGTAGTGGTGTTATCCCACTCCTTAGAGGCATTGCAAAAAAGGGTCTTCTTTCCTACCAGGTGGTAGCCCTTGATACAAACGTAAGTCCCCAGAATCTGTCCTTCCACCTCCTTTGCGACAAATATGCTATTGTCCACTGGAGGAAGCTCTGGACAGTGCTCTGCTGGAAGAAAAAAGAAAACAGATTCACTTGGCATATCATGTGCTGTCAGAGAACCCTTATTAGATTTCCCCATTCTCATGTCTTTTTGCTGGATTATTGATCCTGATTCCTGTGCTCTTCCCAAGTACTCTGTATTCTACTCCCAAGTAGCCGGGACTACAGGCACCCGCCACCACGCCCAGCTAATTTTTTGTATTTTCAGCAGAGACGGGGTTTCACTGTCTTAGCCAGGATGGTCTCGATCTCTTGACCTCGTGATCCGCCCACCTCGGCCTCTCAAAGTGCCGGGATTACAGGCTTGAGCCGCTGCGCCCGGCCGGAATTCCGAAGTTTTATTTTCAAAAGTATAACAGGAATTTTACTCAAATTCAACCACAAGTTGTCCACTTCTAAACAAATAGTCCCCTACACAAATAGCGATCCTGGAGTTTATAACAAGTAAGACCTCCCAGGATTTTGAAATTGGTACTCTTTTTGCTCCCAGAACAGAAAGGGAAAGTAAAAAAACAGTAACCACCCACTTCAGAGATCAGGGTTATCATTAAATGTACACTAAGCTCCTATTGAGTGCAGAGCATTAGGCCAATTTGAGATTTTTCAATAGAAGAATAAAGATATTATAAATGTAAACTTCCTTAAAGCCCTAGACAGAGTTCCTCAAAACACCGCAAAAGGACACCAAATGCCTGTAAGCTGAGTTGAAGGAAAGCATACGTACCATCTGAAGCAGAAACTCGCCACGCAACCATAAGACAGCACGCACACCAAAAAAACATCTGGTGATCAAAGTCCTCTCCCCAGGCTGGAATTCACCCAGCTCAGACACCTGGTTTGAAAAAAAATAGATCTTCTAACACTGCTTAAGACCAACCTAACCACCTCCTCTCTAGAGAAGAGGTTATATTGATTTACCCTCCCTGGAGAAAATGAAAAGAAAAAATCTTACGACAGGAAATCAGAACAGCTGTAAGGAAGCTGGTATAGGGAGGAACTGCAAAAATACAAAGGGATGGTAAAAGAGTTGCCAGGTTTAAAACTCAGTTTCAGAAATTTCCTGGTTTCTGGGAATGCAAATCCAGTTGACCAGTCTTTTTGAAACGCAGGCTTATCCTTCCCCAACAAACATGGGCCAAATGGTCTTGCCATGACCTTGACTTCTGTCAATAGTTGCCAATGTTTACAGTCCAACTTCTGTAACTCTGGCCAGCACTGGGGAAAGAGAACGGGCTGTCAATCCCTGGTTCTTGCCCAGGTAGAACACAATTTTGAATGCTACCTCATCCTCCTTTCCTGAATACCAGATATCCTAAGGCTGTAAGCAGCACTGAAGACGAAAGCTCAAGGAAGTAAACTAACCTTACCTGTCTCTGTCCCTCCAGAGTTAGGGCTTCCCAGCAAGGAACTGGTCTTAACTGACTCCAAAGCTGAGAGCTCCAAAGTCCTGCAGTGACACATTGTTCTCGCTTGCCAGGCCTGTACCCAGGCTTCCTACTTTGTGGCTCTTCCAGGGACAGGATTTGGCCTGAGTCCAGAGTTAACCAAATGAGTAAAGAGAGAGGTGAGGAGAATGCTTTGGTCTCAGGAATTAAGGCATGTAAAATTGTTTTGAGGGATCCCATATCATCTTGCTTGTGACTACTATAACCCTTGGTTGGTTCTCTGTGCTGTAATTATGAAACTGGGGAAAAATTCCTACAAAATTTCAGGTTTTAATAGAATAATAAAGCATTAAGGACACAGTAAGGTTGCAAATGTTCTTCTCTTCTCCATCCATTACTACTGTTTGTGATGATTAATCTATGTCTTTCTCCTGAAAGGAATCAGGATATGCCACCCCCAAATATTTGGCGTTAAGATTCTTTTAAGCTGAAGATATTTGAGATTCAGTGATATGGAAAGGAACAGAGATTTTGGGGGCTTTCCTTATCTGACTAAAGGCAGCAACCTTGGAGATAAGGTTGCCATAAATTCCTTTTCAGGGTAGGTCTATCCTGGAGGGGAGAGCATGAGTAAAACATATTTCAAATTCCTTCTCCAGAGAAATTTCATGGCCTTGAAGGAGACAGAAAGAACACTCGTACTTATATACACAAACATTATCACAAAACTTTCTAATTTCCTACTTTTCCCCTGAAAACCCACTTGCCTTTCCAAAAAATAATCTGTTTTCTTTTTTGTTTGAGATGGTGTCTTGGCATGATCTTGGCTCACTGCAACCTCCACCTGCCAGGTTCAGGCCATTCTTGTGCCTCAGTCTCCCGAGTAGCTGAGATTACAGGCATGCGCTACCACGCCTGGCTAATTTTTGTATTTTTAGTAGAGATGGGGTTTCACCATGTTGGCCAAACTGGTCTTGAACTCCTGACCTCAAATGATCCACCCGCCTTGGCCTCCCAAAGTGCTGGGATTATAGGCATGAGCCACCGCACCCGGCCAATAATCTGTTTTCTTGTAAGTGCCTTTCTTCTCCCCACCTTCACCTATTAAGATGATGTATAAGCCCCAATTCTAACCAACTTTTTGAATTACTTATCACTGAGTTTTCCCACATGTACTCAAGTTACATGTATAAATAGAATTTTCTCTCCTGTTAATCTGTCTTAGTCTAATTTGCAGGTCCCAGCCACTGAATACAATATGGTAGAGGAAAGGTGTTTTTTTCCTCCCCTTTATTCCCACAGGAAACTGCTAACTCCAGGACAGGGTTTGTGTCTGATTTGTATTTGTATTCCCTTCCACGGTGCTTCATATTGCAAAGCAGTTGTCTGTTAAATGAATGAAAGTAATGCAGAAATAAATGAAAAAAACTGTCATCCAGAAACTCTACCACAGCCCCCAAAATCCATATGATCACTTGCCATTTATCACATGCTGCCTTATGATTTTTTATGTCTTATCTTTTCTTAACTAATATGCAAATTCCTATAGTGTAAGCACCCTCTAAGACATGATTTTCAAAAAGTTAAAAATATGACACAAGTAAATATAAGATGAATATATATCAAAGATTTAATTCAACTCATTAATTAATGAGGAAACATTCAGATGCTACAACTGGTTCAAAGAAGAATTTGAGGAATAGGAATGCATATAGTCAGTCAGTCAAAAGCATTCTGAAGTGACCTTTCCAATAGATACAAAACTGGTTAATATCCTACAGAGTAACAAACTGTAATATTTGCAATTAGCTTTTCTACCTGGTGGAAAGTAATTAAAACAAAATGGACAAAATATATTTGCTCTACTATAACCAGGAATCATTTGCATTGTTCTCAGATAAGAGTCATTTGCATTCCTATAAATTTACTGCAAATTAACCTCTATGCTTAAAGAGTTCTAAAAGAACTTTAAATAAAGTCAGTCAGAGATCATCTCCAGAGGGCCTGCTAGAAAATGCCCAGGAATCCATTGAGCATTTACTCCAGTGATCTCTTTTTGCTAATCCTAAGCTTTGAATAATTTTTATTTACATACCCCATGTTCTACTTCTTGAGGAATGCATGTTCTTCAGTATCTTTTATAGATTTATATACAGAATGTTTGTACAATAAATTATTTTAAAAAGGAAGGAAAATCTAGTTTAGCCCTACATAAATATGGACATAAAATAGAACATGTATTACAGGAAATAATTGCAAGTAATTCTTCATCTTAATGGCTTACTTCAGATTCAGAACTATAGGACTTTAGAAACCATATCACTTATACTATTGTCTTACTAATATTTCTCCATAAAATATAAAAATACAAAAATATTCACACTAAGTGGGCTCTATAGAGACAATAAATAGCATCACAAAGTTTGGGTCAGGTTTTTTCTGTCAAATGAATTAGAAGAAAACTTTGTCTCAAAGGTTTTTGGATTTTAGAATTAGAGATTAAAGAAAGAAACAGAGAGTGATTGAGAGAGAGAAAGAGAGTAATATGGTGGGTCTTGGGGGAGAGGCAGAATCAGAGATAGATGCAGAGAGATAGAGATGCTTAGGAAGGGGTGTCTGGGGACTCTGAAGGACAAGTCTCCACCTGGCACTGCCATTGTCCCCCGCCCCAATCCCACTCTTCCCTCCTCAGCCCTCTCTCCCCACAGGATGAGCAAGAGCATCAGAGACAGAGATGGAGACAAAAGACAGACAGAGGAGACACTGACAGAGTGAATCAGAGAGAGACAGAGACAGAGGAATTTCTCCTCTTCTCTCTGCCTCCCTCCTCCTCTCCCCAACACCTCCCCCTTCACCACCTTCCTGCCTCCCTCTGCTCCCCTTCCAAGCCTGCATATTCTTCAGGGCTTACCCTCAGCTCCAGGACAGGGTCCTCCTGGGGCTCCTGATGGGTGAATATTTACACCACAAGAGTAAATAAAGATTACAGGCTTATATATTTTACTATTTGTATCCAAAATTAGGCGAATTAATAAATGAGCGTTAGCAGGCTCTTCTATTCCTTTGAACATTAAAAGATAGTTGGATCTATGCCAGATCGTTTCCTGGAGAACTGGGGTAATAGATCAGGTGAAACTGTTGTTCTCAGACTGGCTTCATTGCTTTACAATGGAATGGGCAAGCTGGGCATAGTGGTTCACACCTGTAATCTCAACACTTTGGGAGGCCGAGGCAGGTGGATGGCTTGAGCACAGGAGTTCAAGACCAGCATAGCAAGACCTCATCTCTATAAAAAATAAAATTTTATATATATTAGACAGGCATGGTGGCATGTGCCTGTAGTCCTAGATACTTGGGAGGCTGAGACAGGAGGATCACCTGAGTCCAGGAGATCAAGGCTTCAGTGAGCTGTAATTGCACCACTGCACTCCAGTGTAGGCAACAAAGCAAGAACCTGTTTCAAAAAAACAAATAACAACAAAACACAAAGAAATGGGCAGATGGTAGTTAAAGGAAGAGATCAGGAGGTGAGGAAGGAAGAGTAGAAATATAAAAGTCAGCAATGCCCAATCTGGGGGAAGAGTTGTGGGAAGTTATAAAAGGGGCACACACATTGCAGTGTGTGTAAGATTTTAAGAGAATTCAGGAAAGACTATTTTAAGAAGTTCTACAGGGTGTCATGAATGGATTCCCTTTGGTCTTTGTCAAGAGAATTCAGAAAAGATTTAAATTGCTCTTTTAATGTTTTTTACACGTTGGGTTGATGTTTCCCCAATGCCTGACCAAAACAACCTGGGCCAGAAAAGTGTGGGGGGCGCACAGCCACATACTCAAACTTATGTACAAGGCATTTGAGGTTGGGGCATGGAAAAATGCTGAGGCACTGTGTGTATGTTATTTGTGCATGAGAATATAATTCCTTGACCCTGAAAACAGGACAAGGAGTGGAGTGTGTGATAAGGAACGCTGAAAACAGCCTCCTGAGAATGCGGTTTGAGTGCTTTGACAAGGCCACAGGTGTCTCACAACCCGACCTCAAAAAGCCATCTGGTGGATGTTTGTGGTGTAACAAGCCCTTTCAATGAATACATGGTGGGCAGATATTGGGGCGGACTCTCCTCAGAAGAGCTGCTCCCTCCCCCGCTCAGCTGGAATTTTCTGAGAACTCATTCTTGGCGTTCACTGCAAGCTATAAGCTTTGCAAAAAGTAGCCTTAGGCAGATTCCATGGGAATGTAAATTTTAAAAAGAATTTGTAAAAATCAAATTGTGCATGAAACACTGTAGAATAAGCTTTAATTATGAGTTTAGATGGACCTGCACTGTGGCAAGATCAGAGTTGATGCATTGTTACTCTAAGTTTTAGGGGACAAGAATAAGTCACCTTAAAATATGCCTCTTTGGCATAAAGATTATTTTGAACTGCAGGCAAATGAGATGCAATGGAAGCAGAAAGAAGCCTTCCTGGAGTATCTCTTAGATGACTCTAAGCAGAAACTTCTGAGGAATGAGGACTGCTGTAAGTCCTTTCTCCGGAGGGAGATTTATGTCCACAAAGAAGTCAGTGTCAAGACAGACCTACACAAACCTTCTCCATTAGTTTCTTTCAGGTATTTGCCTTCTCAAAATTTGCAGCCCTAGAAACTTAACGTTTTTTCCTTTGTCTTGTCACTTCTCTACAAAGTTATTGCTCTTTTGTTAAGATGCTATATAAATCTAAGCTCTAACTCCCCTTTGAGTTACTCATCATGAGGTTCCTCCCAGGTGGGGTGTGCTTCACACATTAATAAATTGTTTGGGTTTCTTTTGTCAATCTGTTTTGTTAGTCTAATTTACAAAGTCCCAGGCAGAGAACCTAGGAGGGTAGAAGGAAAAATAATTTTTTCCTCTCTTACAAAGCAATGGCAGCCTAACTCCTCAAAGGCTACTGCTCACCTTGTTATAGCTCTTCAGACCTGCTACAATGTTTCAATTACCTACTAAGGCAGGTTGCTACTTCTTCAATAGCTATTGAACCCTTCTTTGGTAACTAAACCCTAATTATAACTGGCACAAAGCCACTTGGAATAAAAATATTCCAGCCTGCATGAAAGCTGTATGTAGCCACTTGACTACATTTTGACCAATGAGGTATAAGCATAAGTGTGCTTGCAAAATCTAGGAAATATTCTTTTTTTAATTTTTAACTTTACAGTAGGTGTATATATTTATGGGTTACATGAGAAGGGAAATATCCTTAAAAGAAGCTGGTATGTCCTGTTGCCTTCTTCCTTCCTGCTGGCCAGAGTGTAAACATGTTTTCTGCAACTGGAGTAGCCACCTTCCTCTATGAAGTAGAATCCAACACATTGTTCTTTTTGAGCGAGAGAGACAGAGAAAGAGAGAGAGAGCGAGTCTCACTCTGTCATCCAGGCTGGAGTTCAGTAGCATGATCATAGCTCACTGCAGCATCAAACTCCCAGGCTCAATCAATTCTCCCACTTCAGCCTCCCGAGTAGGTAGGACTACAAGTGTGCACCACCATTCCTGTCTGATTTATTTTTTATTTTTGTAGAGATGGGTGGGGGGGGGGTCTCACTATATTGCCCAAGCTGGTTTTGAACTCCTAGCCTCAGGCAATCCTCCCGCTTCAGCCTCCCAAAGAGCTGAGATTACCAGCCTGAACCAATGTGACCTTGGAGTTGTTATTTTAGATTTACTGAAATCCACAGCTGAAACCAACTCTAATCTGAAACAGAGTTTGAGTGAAATGACTCAGGAATTTAAATTCAGAAAAGAATATTTAACAGACTTTATTAAAGCATACTCTGACACAGTTTCCCTTCCCATCCATAAATTCTACAAAGACAATGGGGGAAAGAGGAGAGAACCTAGGAAGTGAAAACTGAATGGCAATGAAGAGGCAAACATATCAGTGATGAAGGAAACCCAAATGGATAAACAAGTTATTCTCTGAAAGTAGGCTGGATGTTTGGTGAAGGGCATTAAACATGTTGAGAGTAGACCCCATGCTACAGTGCTGCTTCCCAAGCGTTCCTATGCTTCTGAAATTATTTTGCTTAATTGCAGGGAAACTCTCCTATAGAATCTAATCTGATTTTCACAGGTAGAGTGTTGCATACAATCAAAAAGGCATTTAAATGCCTTTGGGAATTCAGAAGCGTAGTTGTTCTGCTTGTAAAGGGCTGAAGGAATGCAGCTGACATTGGCTTGATGAGAATAAAAGAAGAAAGACTGTGCTTTGATGTTTTTAAGAGAAAGAAAATATTACTCTCCATGATTACAGTGATGCTATCTCATTAAAAACCACGTTCTTAAATATCCCAGTGTGCAGTAAAAAAATTCCAGTACATCATATATTCCCCTCCTCCGCTTAAATAGTATCAAATGCATGTCACTGGATTATTTTTTCTTTTACATGTTAAAGGAGAGAAATGGACAAGAGAGTATGGACAGTATTACGTAGCTCCTGTTTCCTACCCTGAGGTCCAAGAATGGGTTTCAGGTCATGACCTCCCTAAACTGTATGCAAAACCTATGTGTCAACCTTTTTCTGGGTAGAGAGTCCTTAGCATGTCAAATTCTCAAATGAGTTCAAGAGAATGAATGAAGGTTGGATGGTGCAAAATACTTCTAGAGACCATAAACCTTGGTGATGGGCCATTGTCAGACGCCACAGGAAGTGCCCATGGGCTCATCACCTCCTGCCGAGTTCAAAACCAGCTTGGGCAACATAGTGAGACCCTATTTCTACAAAAATGAAAAATAAATAGCCAGGGCAAGCTAGTGAACCTGAAGGTTGATGCTCCTCACAGTGAGTCCTAAGTGAAGACCCTGGAGAAGTTTAAGAAATGGTGTAATGATGAAACCTACAGGAGAAAGGCAAATAATGACCATCACCCAACACTGAAGTACTCGCTGAGTAATCATTTTCTAATGCTGGTATCTTTGCTAAGTTACCAGCAACATTTTAAAACAGTGTGGCATGTGTCTGTTGGGTCTTAACATTTACCTTGTTCTGAGATATTATTGGCTTTATAAAAATCACGAGTGTTGAGGTGTGTGACTCAGTAATGGTGCTCATTTACCTCTCTGTAAAACCCAGAGAATGATTCCAGACACCCCAGCCTTTTACAAATGATGACTTGATGGCTGAATTAGAGAACACTTGCAGAAGTGCCTGGAGATATTTCCAAGGAAATTAAACCTTGACACCACATCCTCATTACTGTCAGCCCACCAGCTAGATTATTAAAGCTCAATGTATTCATCAGTACACATAACCACTGTCTCTCACCTGTTTTCAAATTGGAGAATTCATAAGTCATTTTCATTCTATCAGAAGAACCCTTGAACTTAAAGAATTTGGAAATCCTCTGTTGTTATTATGAATGTTTCATTTTATCTCTATTGCTGCTGACCCCAAAAGATTGTTCCAAGTTACTTTATCATATACATTATGTAACCATTATCCAACATTATTTGGTGAAGGTCATTCATGAGGGGGAAAGCATCCCCAGTAGAAAGAGATGCGTTAGGTTACAAACCTGCTGTTAACCTTTCCTTTCCAATAATAAACTCTAAACAAAGGTCAGGGACTTTGTTTTAGTCATTGCCTGGCAACTAATGGGTAGTCACTAAATATTTGTTAAATAAATAAATGAAACTCTAGGACGTCAGTAATGCATGGTAGTCACAATCTTACTGATATCATTTTGAAATGCTGATGAAACTTGAACTGGTTAAAATCACTAGTTGGAAATATACATATAATCTAATAATTTGAAAATCATCTTAAAGAAGCTAGTTTCAAACACATTTTAGACAATGTTATTAATATTTTGCATACATATAATGTACCAAATGTTATCTTTTCGTGTGTTATCTTAAAAATTAATTGCATTTTTAATTAAAAATAATTTTATTTTATGTTCTTATTACAAAAGCAATACATATTACTCGCATATTTTAGCATGATTTTATTAATCCAGGAGATAAACACTTCTCCAGAGAAATGCATCTCTTGGTTTACACTTACAATAAAAATCAATGAGAAACAAAGTATTCAAAAAAAATTCACTGTCCCTTAACATCGTTATTTTCCTTTTACAGAAGACAGATATCTACGTTCTGGAAATTTAACTTAAGTTAATATGACATTAGACTTAAAAGCTCTAACTACCTAAATTTCTACAAAAAAAACCCCAAACAAACAAACAAAAAAAAACCTGACAACATAAATTATATTACATTCTGATTAAATACATGCAAACAGTGACAAGAAAACTCAAAAATGCCTTACATGGATAGAATAAATAACTAAATATAAACATTGTCTGATCATCAAAAGACAGTTTTCGATGCAGAGAGAAATCCATATCACAACTAAATCATTATAGTACAGCATGCGGTAGGCAGCCAGATGAAAATCATCTGCTACAGGGTAAGGAGCCTTCCTGAAGGCAGCTTTGTACGTAGAAAAGCAGCTCCTAGTTGCTGGATGCTGAACCGCCTGCAGCCCAGCTTATCACATCTTAGGTAACAGAGTCCTGTATCATCCACAGTATAAAAGAACCATTTGAGAAAAGCTACATATCATTACTTTTCTTGCTACTCACCCTTTTGCCCAGCAAGTGAGCATTTGAGTGAAAAGGAAAAGAAAGAAAAGTAAAGCTAAAAACATACTATTCTTTAAAAAATAGACTTTCCTTGCAAGATATAATATCCTGTGGGGATTCCATACTCTCCTTCAGTAACAGTGACATGTCAAAACCACATTTACAGAGATACATTCATACATTTGACAATCACTGGGGAAGAGTTATCTGATTTGTCTGTAAGGAAAAGCGAATGACTAATGCACTGAGGCGCTGGTCCATGACCCCGCCACCCTCACTTTTATATGAGAGATCAGTGACCACAATAGTGACCAGTGGCCAAGAGGCAGGTATCAGGAGACTACTGCCCTCCAAGTCACAGCCACAGCTCTCTCAAGGACTGTATCATGGTGACAGAGCCCACAGAGGGGCGTGTCTCCTTCCACCTGTTCTGAAGCCAAAACACTCCCTGATCGGGCTGATTCTCAAGGAGCTTTCTTGACTTACTCACGTGATATAAATGGCACTCTACTTTTCTGTCTAGTCCACATTCCCAACCACCCAGGAGAACCACATCAGCCCCATCTTGATGCATGAGAGGCACATGCATCAAGTCAAAAGTACAGTAGCTACAAAAGGGAACTTAGAAGATGGGTACCCATTTTGGGGAGTCTTGCAGTCAGATCCTGTCCTGAAGGGCCTGGAACAAGAAAAACTTCTCTAAATGAAAAGGTTGCCACTGACACTGTTCTTCTATCAAGGCAGAGAAGATGTTTTAGGGACTGAATTTCTCAGAAGACCCTCCATTCACCTGGTGATTTGTCTCTTGCTTCCAATGTGGCAAATGGTAACTGCTAGCATAAGTATATTAGACTCTAGCCTGCTCGCCTGGAACAGTGGCAGAGACCAGCTCTTACCTTCTCACTTGAAAAGTAAATCTGAAGAAGTGCATTTGCACTTTGGGCAAAAAAGAGCCAGCAAAGGATGCAGACAGTCACAGGTAGGATGTTAAATGCCTATACAGAATGAGATTGACCAACTTGGACCAAACTCAGCACAGAGATGACAAAAAGTCACTGGTTCAGGTTGCTAAATGTTTTGAGGCACAGGGAAGTTAAATTTTTCAGTGTAACTGATATTCCCATTAGGCAGGAGGGGAGGAAATATGGTGACGTTTCTCCAGGCCTCGTTTTGGTGGCCCCCAAAGTCCAGTTCCCACTTAACTTCCTGTTCTAGCCTCTGTGAAGCTGACATCCCAAGCTTTTCAGTAGATCCCAGTCGTTTGGAGAGGTGAGGCCTGAACATCCACATCATTAGCAAGGCAACATGAGGGACGCTGCGGAGGGGCGTCTGCGCACAGCCAGTGTGGTCTCTGCTGCCTACGAGCCAGAGAGGAAGAGACACAAAGCTATTACAGCACTGCCAAGCAGCGAACATAAAAGTAGAACAGAATCCTTCCCCTACCTTCCCTCCTCCCTCAACCTCCCCATCCCCACATCCATACACATGCATGAACACACTGGTGTGCCTACACACACACCTTGACTACCCGAATGGCGTAGTCATGGTCTTCTTTCCCTGAGGAGCTGACCTCGTGACCATATTGGACCAGGCACTCCTTTCAGACCTGGACCATAAGCTACATACCCAAGATATGAAGCAGGAGCAGTCAGGATCCCTCTGGTAGAAGGAAATCGTGTAGGCTATGTCAGCCAAAAGACCATGCCAATAAAGTGACACTGTAGTCAGGGGCTACTTGGCTTCTGAGGAGGGTCCCTACTATTTTAGTTATACGAGTCCATTCTGAAACCAGTCATCAGAGCAGATCAACTTCTTCCCATTAACTGGCATCTAACATTTTACCTTGTGGGAAATTTTTCCCCTAGAACAGTGCTTCTCAAATGTTAAATGTGCATATGAATCACCTGGTCGTCCTAGTAAAATGAGGATTCTGACTCCGGAGGTCTGGGATGGGGCCTGGGATTCTGCATTTCTAATGAGCTTCTGGTCTTTGTTAAGGTAACAAGGAATAAGGCATGCGAATGGTAAAACAATCCCATCTGTATTTCCTGTCTCAAAAAAAATTAAATGCTGTTTTATACCCTTGACCATAATCTCTTTAGAAATGGGCAAATCACATTTTAGGAACAACAGTCCACCAAGTGCTAAAAAATCTCCAAAAGTTTTCTTTATAATACATAATATGAGTTACATGTTGCTAATGGGAATTACTGCACAGTGCAGTGAAATGTAATTGTTTCTTAATTCTTGCATAAGTGCCAACAGGAACACACAACTATTGAAGTTCATGTGCTTTCCATAATGTTCTTCCTATCTTCCCCAGAAGGTGGCAGAAGAGAGCCACGGCTACACCATGGTCTTCAATTACAGTGCGAACTTCTGTTGGCTTGTCTGAGTCTGAATCCTTGTGCAGCATGAGGCAAAGTTTTAGGGGTGGGGAAGGGATGGGAAACACAACTGAAAATACTAAACAAAAAACCCAGAAGCCTTCTGATAGGTTCAAGTTACTCAACAATTTTATTTACCCATTCTACACACACGCACACAAAAACACATTTCAAATACAGTTATGCACACTTTAAATGGATCTGAGTGGCATACTTTGTTATCAGTGTCACCCGATTAAATCAGAATGTTGCTAAAGACTTATGTTCCTATTTCAACAGAGCAGTGCCTAGGAAATCTACAGTAGAACTCTCTTCCTAGGCTTCCCAATCTGACCCATTCCCATTCAACCCAGAGGTGCTCAGCCCCACACCATCCCCCTTCCCAAAGGGCACCATGTATGATCAGCCCTTTGATTTTGCCATAGCAAAACCATCACCATACCAGCATAAGTTGATCTTCTTGTTAGGTCAATATAATAAAAAACGTACATAAGCAATTCAGATACAAAAACATTGCGTAGGTAAACATTGGTCACAGATATCCAGTGAAAGGCTTACTGGAAAAAATACTTTTGCCAACCCTTAAAATCAATTTTTAAATGCCAAATTTTCTTCTCATTTTTACTTACTAGATTAAGTGTAAAATCCAAATGCATGGCTGACTAAAAATAGCAGCCCTGTCCAATGGAATACAACATTTCAGAACAGGGTAAGCTGGGGACACAGAAGCTTCAGAAATGAACAGTGGAACTGAAGTCCTGCCCTAAAGCAGGGGACTGGATGAGATGACTTCAAGTAAAGGTAACAACTCCAGGCTCTGAACAGGCATTCCCTTAGCTGAGTTCACAAAATACCATAAAAGTGATGCATAACCTTTATCTTGTACAAAATAATGAGAATTTGGCCACTACTATATAAGAAATATCTATTTAAAATCATAGTGTACAGAACTCCCCTATAAAGAAAACACGTGGAGTGCTTAATTCCTTCCTTTGTTAGACACATTTAATAGACAGAGAATTACCATAATGTACATACACTTCAATGGATACAATCAGAAAGCAGGCAGACTGTCAGCTTACAGACCCTAGACCGTTAGTCAGGCAACACCCAAATTTTACTATAGTCTATCTATCAGTCAGCACACAGACACTACTACAGTCTGTCAGTGACAAACAGATCCTACTAGAGTCAATCAGCACACAGATCCTCCTGGTCTACCAGTTGGTCAACATATAGACACTACTAGAGTCTGTCAGTCAGCACACAGACACTAAAGTCTGTCTGTCAGTCAGTCAGCACAGAGATCCAACTAGAGACAGTCTCCTGGACAGTATGGGTCTAAATTAAATCCCTGGACACAATTCTGACATCTGTGTCACCTTCAGGGAAAGTCGATTCTACCCCACCAGTGCTGCAACCCGACTCAGTTGTTACATATTTTCAATAAGTCAAAATACATAGAAAAGCTGGGTAAATCTATCAAATTTCTTAACAATGAACACAACATGGCTTCTGGGCTTGGCAAAGACAATGGAATGTGCATAAGATTACATAACCCAGATACAATTCTTCTGATTACTGGATACTTTTTCCCGTGCCCATTGGCCACTCCAACCACCAATGAGTTTCTGTCAATTAAGATCTCCTGCTCATAAAAAAAAAAAAAAAAGAAAAAAAAAGTAACATAGATGAATTTATTTCCAAACAGCTATATCATATGTTTCTTCAAAATGCCAGTGTCTCTGAAGACCAAATGTGGGTTGCAAAGAGGATTACCCAGATCCTCATATGGAATACTCACCCATTCAGTCTAGGGGTACAAATATATTGTGTCCTTAACTCCAACTTCTTTGGAAACAAACAAACAATAACAACAACAACGAAACACCAGAGGCAAAGATATAGGGCAGATCCCTAGCACAATGCAAGTTTTTAGAAGCTTTTCTTATTCTACTTTAAAACTCAATGTAAAAATCATCCCTTTACCAAAACAAAACAACAATACAGATAAGAGCTAAATTACAATTTAGGGATTAGGAGATAAGAAGAGAAGCAGGTTCTCTAAATCTGCTTTAGAATTCTCTTTCAAATCTGTCATAGTCTTGAAGCAAGAATAAGAAAACAGAATAATTTCCCTTTCCCCACTTTAGACAAGTAAATTTATAAAAAACTTTTTTAGAGGTGAGGTCTCACTATATTGCCCAGGCTGGTCTCAAGTGATTCTCCTGCCTCAGCCTCCCAAGTATCTGGGACTACAGGTATAAGCCACAGCAACCAGCTTATTCCAGTAGATTAAATGCTAATGTCTTTACCTATTTCTCACAAAACAAAACTTACAGCCTCAGCAGAGAGTACTTTTAAGTCCATTTTTATTTTGTAGGACTTGTGATAGACACAGTCATAGTAATGTATACAGATTACCAACATGCATTCAAGTAAGACCAGGAGAGAAAAGATGAGAAGTAGAGCTGAAACTTCTCTAAAATTTGGAGTAAGAGCTCTTTTCCATTCTACATTCTCCTGGCTTCTTCCTGCTAGACTTCTCTGAAGGGATCTTGCTTTAGAAACTAAAGGATGCTGAAGCCCTTGCTTGCCAAATTCCAATTTCTCATGTCCTATCTGAGGATAAGACCACCTCAGCTCCTCTTCTGGAGAAAGCGAACTAGCACAGGTGAGAGTGGGGAAATAACAGCAGGCTGAGAGCCAGAATGAACATCCCAGTGACCTGTCTCTAATGCTGGGTTAATGACAGGTTAACACAATGCTAGCTTGTTAGAGAAGTCCCCTTTTGCTAAGAGTGGGTACAGTGTTAATCCAAAGTCTGTGGATCAAAGTGCTCCCTCTTCTCATTCATTAGGTCTGAATTACTCTTACCTCACAGCAGAAGAAAAGACTGAATGCCCATTTGGGCTACAGATGCCACCATCCAAGCAAATGTGGACAATGCAACCTTGTAAAAGTGCCAAACACGCCTCCCCAACCATATCTCATTCTCACACTGGTGGTGGTGGGGGCATCCCCATCCCCCAACCCCTGTAGTCTCATAGCCATAGGACAACAGAAAAGTCAGGAGAAGCGATGTGATGGTTGAACACTTCTAGACTCAGACTGTTGCTATATTGCAAATGTCCATTTGTTATAAATTACATGTCCTGTCTCTTAAAATAACCTTCCTCTGGACAAGGACCTTTTCTTCTACTTCTGTTTAGCTTTCCCCTATCCCTGCCCCTACCAGCCCAAAGCTCCACAAAGACACTAAGTACATGTTATGTAACCACTAAACAGGAATAGCAGGTTACTTAACATCTTGGACACAATTTTGAGAAGAATCTAGGTAAGCAGCCTTTAGAAGCTGCCTATGGTATCCTACTTGGGACATACGAGTAAAGGACCCGGGGTCAGGAGTCAGTTGCCAGTGATGACAACCTTTATCATCCTGGCAGGGTCTGCACCTCTCTCCAGGGTGCTTAAAATCCCCAGCTGCTCTCTAGAGACAATTATTTAATTCAGTGATTTGTTCCACATCACTCAGCAATGTAAAGGGTTAAAGATGGGACTAGAACCTAGAATAACCCTCTAAAACACAGCAGCCTGCCTTCCAGGGGGTTATATCATTTAACATTATGATCTGCTCAAACATCAAACCCAAAGAACTGTCCTTTCAGGACTATGAGGAATTCAGAATTCCTAGGCTGACACTTTTGTCTGAGAAACTACTATCCAGTATTTTTCCACCTAACTTCCTAAGGTGGAGTTCTTAACCCGAGCTATGAATCAGAATCATCCGGGAAGCTACTTAAATACATGCATGTCCAGACCCAGATCCCAGAGATTCTGAGTCAGTATTAAGCATAAGGTGGACACAGGCATGTTTATGATTCAACAATCCTAAAGGCAATTCTAAGGAATACTCCTGGATGAGAACCACAGCAAAAAGTCTTCCATTACCAAATGAAAACACCCTTGGAAAATAGCTAACTCCTTCTCACTGGTTACCTCTAAAAGACCAGCAGATAACTTTAAGGTGGGGAGTCACCTATCTCTTTTTAAAATCCCATGAGAACCCTAAACTTGCCTCTCAGAAAAACATACATATATTCGTACATTTTGCATGCAAAATTGGGAAAGAGAATAAGCCATCATGGTCATCAAGGGGCTAAGAATTTCTTCCCTAAACATTTTCTGTTTAACCCTACAAAGAAAATGAAATGACAGAAGTGAATAGAGAAATACAAACAGTTACGAGCTAGATCCCACAGGGTTCCAAGGACTTCTCTGGACATCAAGATGAGATAGTTTCTCTTTATGAACAAAAGAATACTCCAATGAGAGAGATTAAATTCATCATCAAGCTTTTCCACATTTGGGAAAAAAATGGTCATGTAAAAACTATTTTGTTTTGATGTTTCTTTCTTCTTAAGGACAGTGTGCTGAAATTATTCAAAAATAAGCAGTTTTAGTGAACTCTTCTCTGCCTCTTGCCTTGAGCAACTCAAACATCAGTGGTGACTCCTGAATCTAACTGCCCTTCTAAACAGCCCCAGAGGATACTGGCTTTGGCAGGAAAAGTTGCTGTGATTGGCAAAGAACCTGAGAGTCATGGGAGAAAAGACATGACTGCTCTCTAAGAGCCCTGCAAGAGCTAGAGCCCACCCTACTCTCCTAAACCCCACTCTGCAGACCTCAAAAGACCCAGGCCTGACTCTAAATTAAAAATAAAAACCAAGACATTTCCCACATGCTCAGAGCCAGATTCTCCCAGGGCATCGAAGACTTAGAACTGTTTCTCATGAAAGGAGGCAAGAACTCTCACCCTATGTCTACTTGCAAGCTCCAGAATATTCTGTGGATGTCCTGTAGTCTGGGCTGGCCCTTACAGGACCTGGCTGGAGAGGAAGGGAGAAAGGAAAGGAAAGACTCCTCCAGTCCAGATCCATTTAGACCCACTGCAGAAAGCATTAACTGGGCCAGACTTGTCTCTTGTCAATCACCCCTTCCTTCCTAGACAGACACCACAATGCCATGCATTACACTGGACAATCCAGAGGGGACATGAAAGTGGGGGAAGAAAGCAGTCAAGTAAGGAGTGTGAGGAAAACACACATTGAAGAGACAAAAGTGAAGGAAAAATAGACTTTTTGTCCCCCGACTGCTCACCCGCCCTCCATCCCCCAACACTTCACCAACATGAGGACATTAGTGAAGACACCAGGGAACAGAGAGAAGATCCAAGAGTGTGGGGCATGCTCAGCCCCAAGGGAGTGTATCTTTTTCCTCCTCCTCCAGATCATCCCATCTGAGAATCTGTCCTAAAAGACTCAATTTGCTAACTTGCCCCTGGGTGAAAAGATGTTTCAAACTGAAGAACAGCTTAAGTTGTCCTATAAACACATAACCTCATGTTCTGTGTTAAGATTAATGGTGAAGTGTCAGGGGTGGGCATAGAGGGAGGAAGTTAATGACTCCTTGGTGATTAGTGACAAGGGCAGGAGGCCAGGGCTGGAGGGAAACACACAGTTACACCACCGGAATGCTGACTTGGGTCTTCGGCTAGTCGGCCCCTTCTTGCATGTCCTGGGCACGGAGAGGGCTGAGGGGCTTGAGGGGCCGGCTCCCAACACTGTAATTTCTTGGACGCCTTATTGTATTCGAACTGGACAGAGGCGTAAAGCTGTTCCTTCTCATCCTTACAGGGGTTTGGTTCTTGGGGAAGTTGTTCTGATTGGAAATGGAGTGACACCACACAAATGAAAGCCAAGCCAAAAGCTCACTCATACAGGTTAATAATGCGCTTGTAACCACAACAGCTTCCCTCACTCCTGCTCCTCTGCACACAGGGTCCCTCACAGGGCATGGCCCATGGCCTGGCCTCCTAGCATCAGGGGGCTAAAAGGGAGAAGCTCCTTGAGCATAACATTCCAAAGCAGGAAAAAGACCCAAAGAAAGGAAGGGGCTTATTGAAGACCACACAGATTACCAGTGACAGACCTAGGAACAAACCTACACCTCTTGACCCCCACCTTATAGGCTCCTCTGGACTCTGCTTTCTAAAGGGACACTTGGGGTTGGAGGGGGGTAGTAATTTGCATTTCACTTCAGCCAAACACTTTCCATATTTAATTGGATTTCCAGGAGCCAACATTCAAGGTTAAGACTCATGAAAGGGGTACTAATTTAAAAAAAAAATAATTCCAACATCAGTTTCAGACGTAGCAAACTACATTTGGACGTAAGTTCTGAATCTGTTTCCCTTTTGTACATAAAAGAAACCCCAGTCTCTTGATGTCAAAGCTTCAGAGACTCAAGGTGGCAGGGAAACTGGTGTGTTCATCGTGGGAAAATACTTACAGTTGGCTTGTCACGGTGCGTGTTCACAGCCTCCACGTTAAGTTTAATTGTTTCCACTTTGCACCCTGAGAAAACAGAGGAAAGAGAGGACTTAAAGAAAAAGGTTCAATGGAAAATTCCTTAGTTATGGGAAAGTATACCACAAAGGAATGTACGCATTCTGCAATACACACAGTCATGCATACATCCCTTTCAAAACAGAAGGCACTGATGGAGCTTCCCTGGTATATAGGGATAATGAAGCTGAACTCTAGACAAACTTCAGAGAAAATTCTGACCTTCCTCAATTCCCAGCTCCTGCCAGCCCCTATGTGCATAGTTACCATAGGCCACAGGAGTAAGTTTGAAGATGGTATGGAGAGGGCATCTCAAGTATGGTAGCTCATCTGAAAACAGAAAGACCAGGCGAGGGAAGTCTCTTAGTATTATGGAGTAAGGTCAAGTTAGTGGAAGAAAGAATCTACAGAGCTCATAATGAGTTTCCCTTACTTTGACCACCTCTTAGAGTTGTACAACTCCTCCCTTAAACCCCAGACCACAAAGCCACCCAACCTTCTGAGTGGCTAAGGAAGGAAATAAGGCCATCTTAGATCCTTCCACGCAGGCAAAAACAGGAAGTATTGTAGCCAGAGAGCCCAATGGAAGGGGGTCACCTGGGTACAGCAAAGGCCAATAAGGTCTGACCACAACAGCTTCCAAGCAGCTCAGGATGCTGAGCTCAGCATCCACAATGCAGGCTTCCCAGGAGCTCCCGAAGATCGGGAAGCGAAGTATGGAAGAAGGCAACGGCACCTTCTTACTGCCCTTACCCAGAAACAACTGCTGCTCCTAAGATACCACCCTCCTAGTAGGCAGCGTGGCAGGCTGGGAATATTCAACCACTGTCCTGATGCTGCCAGGAGTGTCAGCATGACACTGGCCCTTGAGCCAGGCAGGATCAAGGAGCACCAGCAGCAGCCACTCTCCATTGGAAGCTTTCGTAGCAGCAGAGTGAACTCAGCAAGTCATTGACTCAGTGGCTGCTGGGAGCCCCACACTGCTGTCTGGAGAAAGTACTCTAATTTGAGTGGAGACAGGGAGGTCTGTTTCCCAGGAATCCTGGTGCCACTGCAAGTCCAGCCCTCTCCCACTGGATGTGTCTCCCAGCCCCTCCCTCAAAGGCACCTGCGCCCTTATCCAAGAAGTAGGCCAGGAGGCAGCGCATGACAGCCTGGTGGGAGATGACGAGGACATTGCCCTGACGTTCCAGCTCCATGATGACAGGCTCCAGCCGCTGCACCAGGTCCTGGTATGACTGTGGAGGGAAATGGGGCAGGCTGGCAGGAGCCCAGGTGCAAGCTGGCAGCCAAGTCAGTGGCTGGACCTTGGAGACTAAGGGCCACTTCTTCTTCCTCAGCTGGCTTTCCTCCTGGAGGCTCAGTGAGTTTACATCACCTGCTAACTGCCCCCAGCCCTGGTATCTCTTGAGAAAACTCAGATCTTTCAAAAGCAATATTTAGACCAAGAAAACTACAGGTTAAGAAGAGGAAGTGTGAGTTCAACCTGTGTGTGTGTGTTTTTTCTTCCCACAGATTAATACAGGCAGTGAGACAAGAGACTCCTAGGGGTTTCCTGTACCTCTGCCATTCAGTTTTATTTACTTTTGCCTCACACATCCCTAGAGTATGGAAGCCACTTAGACAAGGAAATAGCCTAAAACACTCAAGATGACAGGGAAATAATTCCTATCCCATATATTTACTTGGTGACTCCACTTACTTATGTGGGGGTGGGATTGAGAGAGTACAAGGAAAAAAAGAAGTAAAAATGATTGTGTTGATTCTAAAACATACTGAACAGAGGATGCCTTGTCACCCTTATCCCTGGGAATCTTAACAATTAATGAGGCATTCGATTGTCTAAGCTGAATGAAACCAAAATGACCCAAGGGAAGGAAGATAAATGATGCCTAGACCCTCCAAATCACATTCAATCCTTCCCCCAAATTAAAGTTAAACACTCAGCAAGGGTCTAGGCAGTCACTTTACATGACAGGGGCGTCTTACCTCCCCACCAGGATATCGATACAGATACTTCTCTTGATCTCGAAGTGCAAACTCTTCTGGGTACCGTTTCTCAATCTCTGCATAGGTCATCTCTTCACACACACCCTGCAAAAAGCCACTTGAAGCTGGCTTGAAGAGATAGACTGTACCACACCAGCCCCATCCCAAATAAGGAAGATGACATTGAAGAATGCTAGTTTCTTAGTACGTGCCAGGCACTGTGCTGGGTCCTTTCATGTATTGCAGCTGCCTGTGACCAGAGTGTCACAGAGTGTCTGTGACTCACCGGGTGAGGACCACTGCCGGAAAGAGGCAACTTCTCTAGCTCAAGCTACCACATTCTCCTACTACTGGGGGGAACTTACAGGTCAAGAAAGTCAAGAGGCTAAAAGGAACAGGAAGCAGAGAAGGAGGGAAACTGAAGGGACTGGAGACCTTGCATGAAAAATAAAAGGGTAGAAGGAAGGAAAGAAAAAGAAATGTCGGCCGGGCACGGTGGCTCATGCCTGTAATCCCAACACTTTGGGTGGCCAAGGCGGGTGGATCACAAGGTCAGGAGTTCAAGACCAGCCTGGCCAAGATGGTGAAACCCCATCTCCCCTAAAACTACAAAAATTAGCCAGGCGTGGTGGCAGGTGCCTATAATCCCAGCTACTCGGGAGGCTGAGGGAGAGAATTGCTTGAACCCAGGAGGCAGAGGTTGCAGTGAGCCAGGATCACGCCACTGCACTCCAGCCTGGGCCACAGAGCGAGACTCCGTGTCACAAAAAAAAAAAAAGAAAGAAATGTCTACTTTTGTACTCAAGAAGAGAGAAAGCCAAGAGAAATTTTGGGAAAAACTTTTCCTGAATAGCTGACCAAATGATCTAAGCAGAAAGCAAAGAAGTGGGTTGTTAGCTATTTATTTTTCCCAGGAGGCAAATATACAAAGGAACAAAATGAGTCCTTGTTAGCCCTACTTTCCCCAGGTGCCAGAAAGGCTGGCTCAAAAATTGGTTTGGGTCCCATGATTGGCACAGGTACTGAATCAGGCAGGAAACCCCTGATTAGGGGTACAATTGTCCTCCCTGATCCCCCGGGCTGGCCATAGAGTCAGCTTCCTCAGAGTTTTTACTTGTTGGTTGTAGTTTCCTAGATAAAACTGTCTAAATAGTGACTTCTGAGAGTTCCTGCCTGAACTCTTGTTGGCTTTTCTGGGCCTTCAGAGCTTCCTACTCACAGCATCAATCTCATTCAGAATCTTCCACTGCTCATAGGGCACCCCGAGAGATTCAGCAGTCTGTATGGTCCTCTTCAACTGGCTTGTCCACACTTTGAGGTCTGTTATTTCCTGTTCCTCCAGAAATTTCCTTAGAGCTTGGGCAAACTGGGGTTTAAAAATGAAAATTAAGGGTAAAAAGAAAACACACAGACACACACACACACACACACACTCAACACACACATACACAAAGCCTGCTAACTTGGTCTGTAAGGGACAACGTGCATAACCATGGTCAAAATCCATAAGGTGCTACATAGTTAATATAAACCCAAAAGGAAATGAACTTTAACTGGAGCACCCTGTACATTGCTAAGTACACAAGTTGTGCCCAATGAATATCTGATGGTTGAATGATCACAGCAGAAATGGGTCAAAGTTATCTACTCTTTAACACAGAGCTAGACGCAGTGAGCAAGAACACACCTTGAGCACTTGCCTGACTATGAAACCACAGCCTACGTCCAAATGGGATTTAAGTAAGGAGATAAAATATATGACCTCAGTCATGCCCTTCTAACTCTAAGCCTAGAAAATCCAGTGTGCTGAATAATTACTCACCTGCTTTCCCCGCACCGAGAGGCCAGAGTCACCCCCAATCTTCCCCAAGAGATTGAACTCGCTTTCTCCATGCCGGCAAAGGTAAATGGTGCGAGGCTGGACGTGGATATTCATGAGGTAGTAGACTATCTTGCTCTGGATGTAGTCCTGGACTCTGTTGACTAAAAATCGCTGGCCCACGTTTATCACCTTGATGAAAGAAAGATCCCTGGGACAGGAAAGGAAAAAAAAAATTCCCTAGGTAAGAAGATCTGAGAATAAGAATCAGAGGGAAAAGGATTTCTACAGGGACTTGCAGGCTCACAGCTGCTCTTCCTCCCCTCCTCTGTCACACCCACGTTTATGGAACCAAATGGTAGGAGATTAATTACTCCTTAAAACCAAGATGAAGTACAATTTCCTGAACTTCTAGTAAGTTTGTACCATTTCCTCAGTGCCTGTAGTGTGACAAGTAATGTAGATAAATAGGATAAACAGAATTCAGCCTTCCCATCAGGGGCTAGACTAGGTGACCTGAAGATTTTGCTAAGCCCAAAATTTGGTGAGAAGAATAGGCCCCTTTTGAGGCAGTTAAGACCTGGCCAGAATATGGCACGACGAGCAACGAGGGGAAGGGAAGAGGCAGCAGAAGCACAGACAGAAATGTCTATATACTCCCTGCATCTACCTAATCATGCTTCTCTCAAAGACACTTTCAGACATTGCTTGCTTTGAGGCCAACATGAGATTGTTCTCTTTATAAAAGTCATAAGTGTGGCTGGATGCGGTAGCTCATGCCTGTAATCCTAGCACTTTGGGAGGCCAAGGTGGGTAGATCAGGAGATCAGGAGTTTGAGAACAGCCTGGCCAACATGGTGAATCCCCATCTCTACTAAAAATAAAAAAATTAGCCGGGCGTGGTGGCGGGTGCCTGTAATCCCAGCTACTCAGGAGGCTGAGGCAGGAGAATTGCTTGAACCCAGGAAGGGGGAGGTTGCAGTGAGCCGAGATCGTGCCACTGCACTCCAGCCTGGGCAACAAGAGCGAGAGACTCCATCTCAAAAAAAAAGTCATAAGTGCTTATTTTAAATCAAAAAATCAGAAAAAATGATGGAAGGATGCAAATCACGCATCACCCTACTACCAGAGATAACATATACAAACATACACATGTATATATATGTAGATCTTCTGTATGTTTTTCTAGGTGGGACTTTGTTCCAACTGAAGAATACTTTTATGCCATATCTAGAGGTGGTTTTCAGCCTCTGAATTAAGGGGATTCTGGGAAACCCACTTGAAGGAACTGAAAGGCTCAAAACATTAAACAGACCACTGTATTAAGTGTGCCATGCACATTAAATGTGCCATTTGCTTGGCTGCAGGTCTGTATTATGTGAATAGAGCTGTTAACTGCCCTGAATGCATGCTCTTTCATGAGGCCACATTCTTGCAGATTTCCATGTGTACACCATCTTTCTTCAACATAGACTTGGTTTTGTTATGGCTCATATACCTCACACATGACAAGTTAATCTATAGTCTACACCATACTGCCAACAAATGCTTCCATAGTAACAACAGCTGGCATTGATCAGACATTTCTCTGAGTCAGGCATGTTCTTGAGGGCTTTGCATGTTATATATAGAGAGAGATAGATATAAAAATATGCAATATGTAATATATATGTTATGCTATAATATGCATGATATACACACAAGCATTAATATATGTAAAATATCATATAATATATATAAACTTTAAAAACTGATGACACATCTCCAAAGGGTATCCTACAACACCCCCATTCAGATATGGAGCAGTGATTCTCAACCAGGGATAACTGTGCCCCCCGGGGAACCTCTGACATGTCTGGAGACATTTTGGTTGTCACAGGTTGGAGGTGTTACTGGCATCTAGTGGGCAAAGCCCAGGGAAGCTGCTGAACATCCTACAATGCACAGGACAGGTCCTACAACAAAGAATTACCCAGTTCAAAGTGCCAATAATACTGAGATTGAGGAAATCATGCTCTAGAGACTGGAGAGAAAAAATTGATGATAAAAAACACTTCCAGCCAGGCGCAGTGACTCATACCTGTAATCCCAGCACTTTGGGAGGCCGAGGCGGGTGGATTACTTGAGCTCAGGAGTTCAAGACCAGCCTGGCCAACATGGGGAAACTCTATCTTTACTAAAAAAAAAAAAAAATAGCCGGGCATGGTGGCGCACACCTGTGGTCCCAGCTACTCAGGAGGCTGAGGTGGGAGGATCACCTGAGCCCCGGGGGCAGCAGTTGCAGTGGGCCCTGATTTTGCCACTGCACTCCAGCCTGGGTGACAGAGTGAGACCCTGTCTCAAAACAAAACAAAACCAACCACTTCAATTTTTCATGTACAAGATGCAATCCACATAAAAGCCACAAATCCATACCTTATTTCTCTGGGATGATGTTAACACTGTAGATCTAGATTATCAGAAGGAAGTTAGAGAACTCAGGGAGAAAGGTTATTTTCCCAGATGAGACCTTTGCCTTGGGCCCTTCAAACCATGGCCTTAAACCTTACTTGTCATAGTTGTCTGGGTCAAGAGGTCGGTAGGTAACTTTGT
Organism: Homo sapiens; assembly: GCF_000001405.40. Classification (NCBI taxonomy): domain Eukaryota; kingdom Metazoa; phylum Chordata; class Mammalia; order Primates; family Hominidae; genus Homo; species Homo sapiens. The sequence goes on along the minus strand of NC_000001.11, from coordinate 207,065,117 downwards.
AGCATTCAATTCTCTTCAGGAAGTCCTCCATCACGTTCTCTCTGTTCCTTTCAGGATAGTCAGGGCTTGATACCTTAACCTCCTGAAATCATAGGAACCAGTAAAGGCCTCATCAGAGGTCTGCCCGTAACAGTCCTCCTACAAATAGCCACTGCTAAAAAAAAGAAAAAGAAGTCCATAAATGTCGCCTTTCACTGGAACATTGGCACTCCACTCATTGAGTACCCCCCGCCCCGCCCCGCCCCGTCCTGTGACCCTGGCAACCAAAAAAGTTAAGACAACTGGGGAGTCATGTGCCTGCACTTGGCTGAAGGACAGAGGCAGTCACGCAGCCAAAGCTGCTCCTGGGCCCCAATCCCTTTATGTACTTTCCTGAGAAAACAGAACAGGCTCCAATGTTTCCCTATTACCACTCAGAATAGGGTGCATGACCCCAGTGCCTGACTTGGGACCAGATGGCTCTTCCTCAGATGATCCCAAGTTCCTACGGCTGGGAGAGCACCTGCATAAGACCATGTTCAGATATCTACTCGGTCCAGCAGAGCACAACCCATCCAATGGGGACTGGCTTACATTGTGACCCCACAGGGAATAAGGAGCTCAATGTATAGAACACTGACGAGAACTTTGGACAATTGCTGGGGAGATAACCTTCCTGTAGGTAAGTCCTGAAACGAAGAGTCTGATCTATTCTTTTTTTTTTTTCTTTTTTGAGACATGTTCTCACTCTGTTACCAAGACTGGACTGCAGTGGCACAATCATGGCTCACTGCAGCCTCAACCTCCCTGGACATGTTCTCACTCTGTCACCAAGACTGGACTGCAGTGGCACAATCACGGCTCACTGTGGCCTCAACCTCCCAGGCTAAGGTGATCCTTCTGGGTTCAAGCAATCCACTTGCCTCGGCCTCCCAAAGTGCTGAGCCTACAAGCATGAGCCACCGTGCCCGGCTGATCTATTCCAACATCTAGGTCTCAACATCCAGATAATACCTAGAGCACAGGGCCAAGAATCCTACAACCTAAACCCTGGTTTCAATTCAACAGCTAATTCTTACTTGATTCCTTAAAGCCTCAGTTTCCTCTCCCAAGAGAAGAGTGTAGAAGTACCAGATGGGGCTCTGGCAGATAGAAAAGATCTCTTTGTGATGTTAAACATGTCTATTTCTCTCTTTCATTACGAAAACACCCCTCCCCAACAACACACACACACACACACACACACACACCCCACAACACACACAGCACAAAAGGTGAAGAGGAGATGATATGTAGGGGTGTCACCAACCAGAATATTGGCAGCAATGACATCAGGATCATCACAGACGGATTCCACAAAGAATACCTGGCCATGGAGAGAAGGCAGTGATAAGCAAGTCAAAAATGCCAGGCTGTTAATTAAGAGCACATGCTCATCTACCCCACCCAGCCACCACATCTCCCAGGATTTTCTTCATGAAAGTGGCCCTCAAGTCCTCCTCATAGCTCTTACCACAGCCCCTGGGCCTCAAACATACAGGCTAACAGTCTGAGAAAGGACCTGAATGAAAACACTCAAGGACTGGGGGAATGCTCTGAGAGAAGAGATTCAGATATCCCATCCTGTCCTCACCCACTAGAGTGAGAGATCCATGCCTGTAGCCTGACTCCCCACCTCTACTCATCCCTTTTCCTCCAACATGGAGTCAGATCCTACCTTGAAGGAATTCTGTTCAGCAAAGTTCAAAATCATGTCCCTCCTCTCCCGGGTTGTATTGGTGGCATCAAACACCTGTGAAGAAAGTACACAAGGTAAATGAGCAGGAACAGAGAAACAGAACCCCACCAGGGCAGACTCAAGGTGGGGCTGGGTAGCCAGGCTGCTGCAAGGGTGGGGACCAGAAAGAAGAAGCAGCAGATAAAGCTTACCGCAATCTGACCATTCTCCTCAGTGAGATACGCCTTAACATCTTCCAGCGCCACCAGAGCACACTGTCTGCCATAAGAGCAAATGAAACCAGCAAGGAGAGCTAAGCTCAAACAGTCAGAGACACAAACATTCGGGTGGCTACAGAAGTCACATCCCTGCCCACTTAGTTTCCCACTGTTCAAAACCTTTCTCTAACTAGATCTTTCAACTTTCTCACTGAGGGTTTTCACACCATCCTATAACCCCTTCCTGCCCCTGCCCCAATGCACAGATCTTAGCCCTCTTTAGACTTCTCCTACAAGCACACAGGTATCAATCACCCTGAGCCCTGTTCTTCTGACCACCCAAGCCCAAGGTCACTTGCCCATCAGATAACTTCCATTTAACTTCCCCTTAAGATATTTACTGAGATGAAACCAAGCCCTGTCACACCAAGTCTCATGACGGCCAAGAAAGAGCTGACCTGGAGATCAGGCCTTAAACAAGACTCACTTGCGGATCTTCATGGCCTCCTCATTGTCATGCCGAAAGAAGTCGTAGGACTTATAGGACTTGACTGCTTCACGCCGATACACCCCAAGATTAAACACTGTAGAAGACACCCAAATCCTTCAGCAGCAAAATAATATGATGGCCCCACCAAATGGGACTTGTTTCTTGGCCTAATGTCGGAGTGACCAAGGGGATGAAAAAAGCGGCAGCATGGTAGGTTGGGAACAATATCAGATTAAGAGTCAAAAGAGTTGGGTTCAAGCCCTGACTTTCTAGACCTTGGACAAGTCTTAAGCTGTCTGAGGTTTCAATTTCCTCAGCCACTCTGTCTATTTCACAGAGACACTGCTAGGGTTATATAAGATGATGTCCATGTAAGGCTTCTGAAAAGGTACAGCCCTATGCTCATCTAAATCTTAACAGTCCTATCAAAGGCATTCCCTCAAAACTAGGCCAATCCACCCACGCCAGGAGGAGACAAGTCTGGGAATAGAGAATAACTCCAGTAAACCAGAAAGCAACTGCTATTTCTGCCAAAAGCACCCTATAGCATTGATGCCAGGAAGAATAAGTCTCCCAGAGACCTGTGAGGCCCAGGAACTAATAATTGTCTTTCCTAGGGAATGAGCCACACTTACCTTTGGTGGGGACTCCAATCCAGTTGAGGTAGCGTGTTAGTTTCTTGGACACGTAGGTTTTACCCCGGGCTGGCAAACCAATCATAACGATCAGAGTCGGGGAGTTGGTCATGTAGGAGGCCCATGCTAGAAGGAAATGAAACAAAATAAAACGAAATGACTAGAGTCCTAGTAAGGTTTTTTGGTGTTTGTTTTTTTGAGACGGAGTCTCACTCTGTCACCAGGCTGGAGTACAGTGGCGTGATCTCAGCTCATTGCAACCTCCGCCTCCCAGGTTCAAGTGATTCTCCCGCCTCAGCCTTCCGAATACCTGGGACTACAGGCGCCCTCCACCATGCCCAGCTAATTTTTGTATTTTCAGTAGAGATGGGGTTTCACCATGTTGGCCAGGATGGTCTCAATTTCTTGACCTCATGATCCACCCACCTCAGCCTCCCAAAGTGCTGGGATTACAGGCGTGAGGCGCCCAGCCCCGCTGGGGTCTAGTAAGGTTTATACACTGAGCTACGAACTTCATAGTCATAATCTCATTTTATCTTCATAAACCTGTGGAGCAAAGGTTCAGCAAGTCTGGGAAGACAAATAAGGAGATATCAGGCAGGCCTCCTGAAATAGAGTTAAAAGGTTATGCAGGCTTCCAGAAAATGCCCAAACCAAGATACGTCTTTCCCACATGTCTGAGGTCTTCACTGCAGTACCCAAGGTGGAAAGAGGAAAAAAGTAGCAAGGCTAAGAAAGAAAATAACCATGCTGCAGCCAGACATGACAGCTCATGCCTGTAATCCCATCAATTTGGGAGAATGAGGTGGGAGGATCACTTGAGGCCAGGAGTTCAAGATAAGCCTGGGCAACATAGAGAGACCCTTGTCTCTTAAAATATATATATATATATATATATATATATATATATATAAAGATATATATAAATATATATAAAGATATATATAAAGATATATATAAAGATATATAGATATATATAAAGATATATATAAAGATATATAAAGATATATATAAAGATATATATAAAATATATATATTTAAGATATTTATATATATCTTAAATATATAATATTTAAGATATAGATATATATAGATATATAGATATATAGATATATATATTTAACTTAGCCAGATGTGGGAGTGTGCACCTATAGTCCCAGCTACTCAGGAGGATTGCTTGAGCTCAGGAGTTCAAGGTTGCAGTGAGCCATGATCCCGTCACTGCACTCCAGCCTGGGCGACAGAGCAAGACTTCGTCTCAAAAAAAGAAAGAAAGAAAGAAAAGTAACAATGACATCATCCTTAACATAAGAATGCCTAGAAATATAAAAATGACAGAGCTGTGAAGGAAGGTCTAATGCTTGGAGATTCTACCAGTGCAGAACTGAGCTGGCTCCTATAATAGGTCCAACAGAGTTTCTGTCTCCAGGATCCCACTCATCCCTTCAGAACCATGGGCAAGAATTAGCTTGCCCACTGCAAAAAGCCCTGCCTCAAGCTGTTTTGGCCTTTTCACTCAGGTCATGAGCTCCTCTTTAAGCCAGAATTTCTAAACCATAGTGAGATTGAGTTGGCAAAGCTTACTTGATACACATTCTGAATAGACCTCAGGAAGCTTCAGGGTAGAGCCAGCCCACAAAGGGCATCAGGGCCAATCTGCCACCATGGCCCACGTAAAAGCAAGACAATTGAGAAGCATTAACAGTCCTCAGTCTACCCTTCCTTAGTAAATTAACTTACTTCAGGAATGCTCATTTGCAGAGATAAGTCTCACTGGACAGGCAGGGCAAACTACATGTTCAGGGGACAGGTGACTTGTCTAGGGACACATAATGAGTCAAGGGTACAGCTGGCACTAGAACACAGATCTTGTGCTTCCTTGCAGCTTTTCTCCATAAAAAGAGGTTCCTCATCACTTTGCTCACAGGGGCTGGCTCCTCCCGGCCCATCTTGCTGCAGAGGAGAGGTGGGAGAAGGACCTGAACTGCTGCCAGCCACTGTCCCGGGGCCAAAAACCACACTGAGGTCATCTGGGATAGCTCAGGCTCTGCCGGCTCCAATGAGGGAAGGCCCTGCACAGGATGGGGGAAAAAGGAAGAAACACCTTCACCTCCCACTTCCCACCACTGCTTCCCAGAAGGTGCCCTGCAAGTTGCGGCTGCCCCTCTGCCTGGTACTAAGGGACCTTGTAAGATTAAGAAACAGTTCTGTAAAATGGAGGTACTTGGATGGGAAATATGACTTTCATTTTTTGAGAAATAAATGTAGAAAGATCTCAATGGAGAAGTGGGAGGAGGGGCCCAGGTAGAGAACCACCCTCGGAAGGAAAAGTTTCCTAAGGGTGTTTGGCAAGAAGTACTCAGAGTGACCCTAGTGGTGAGGAGGGAGAAATGGAGGCCCAGACCTGGGGTCAGAGGGCTTGGCTTTTAGTCCTTTACCCACTGCACACATGGAAAATTCCTGAGTCTCAGCAGGAGCCCCTCCAAGGTAGGTAAAGGAGCAACATAAGTGATTTTCATCTGTGTTCAAATAGGGAGCTTAAAGGCAAGCAAACTGTACCCTGAAGCCTCAGCTGGCATTAATCCCTGATCACTGGCCCCTAACAAGCAGATAGCCTCTGCATGGGATCAGCTGTCTCAGGTTTAAGTAGTAAAATCCCCTGAGTCTTCACTTTCTCCAGCTCGGCTCAATGCCTGCTCTCAATCCCCCATGATTTGGCTCATTACCTGCACTTCTAGGCCTGCTTTGTCCGCACCTTCCAGCCCATTAGGCACTTCCCCCGAAGGTCCTATTACCCTCCCTAAAGTTTAAAATGAACTGATACTTGGGAGCTGCTCTGAAGGCAACCAGGGAACCAGCTGCTCTTGTTTACCCATGTGGACAGAGAATGCTAAGAACAACAACAACAAAAAACTGCATCCACTGGGACCTCCCAAGAGCCCTCCAGCAACGCACCTCTCGCCTCTGTCCAGAATACACTTAAGCACACCTGCTACAACCAGGGCTTCTCATTTTCTGGAGTACAAAACTAAACCACACTTCCTATCTCAAATTACCACACTGGCAAAAGTAGGAACATTCTGTCCTGCCTGTTAAAAAACAAAACCACCTGCCACTGCCACCTGATTAATTTCAGAGACAATGTAACCCATCTCTTGATAGACAATGGAAAACTGTTTCAATCCTGAAATTCTCTTCCACCTTCTTTAAGCCAGGTTCAACTCCTTTTCTTAAACTTAAACTCATTTTCCTTTCATAAACTTGCTTAGATAAAATGAAGACTTGAGGCTGGGCGCAGTGGCTTATGCCTGTAATCCTCACTTTGGGAGGCCAAGTTGGGTGGATCGCCTGAACCCAGGAGTTTGAGACCAGCCTTGGCAACATGGTGAAACACTATCTCTACTAAAAATATAAAAATTAGCCAGTCTCATAACCCGGTCTCAAAATAAATAAATAAATGTATTTTAAAAAAAAGATTTACAAAAAAAATGAGGACTTGATAACTTCCCTCGTGTAAATGGAAAAACTCAAGCCTGGAGAAATTAAGAGCTTTGCCCATGGTCCCACAATAGACAGTCAAGGTCAGGGTTCTGACCAGTCTCCTGATCTCATGACTGCCCATTCAGTCCCAGCTGCCAGCTCCTGTGCCTCATGTCAGCACTTGACAAAGGTTCCCTCACGGTAAACACAACTTGCTCTCCATTCTAATCCTGAAGGATGGTCTAGGAGAGCAATGGTTCCCAGCCTTTTCAGGACCCAGGACGTCTTCTTTTATTGGCTCTAAAGAGGCCTAATATTTAGAAATATGCTGCCCATAAAGCATGTTTCATTAGTGACATTTTATCTTTATTCATCAGAAGTCAGAACTGCTGATTATCTCCTGCCAGTTGACAGGCATGAAATAACCAAGTTCGTATAACTACGGTCAAACACTAAGAAAGCTGATGTTTCAGTTAACCACTATGGCTATAGTTGATGCTGCCCAATTTCCATCAAATATCTTAAAATATTGAAAACAGCTTACAATATAGAACTTCTTAGGAGAGCAAATTAGTAATACTGATGAACATTTCCAATGTGTCTATCTTTTCTATTATTTCTGTAGGAAAAGTTGCTGTCACAAATGTGCAAAGGTGTACGTGTAAGAATGGTCACTGCAGCACTCTTTGTGATGATGAAAAACTGGAAACAATTTAAATACCTATCCGTGGAAAGCTGGCATATCCATACAATGCAGAATGAGGTAAATCTGCATTTATCAACATTAAAAGGATGTCCACAAGACAGTAACTTATTTAAAAAAATAAAAAAGGAAATGGCAGCTGAACAGAATATGAACAATATGAACCTACCTTTATTAATAGGATATACCAGAATAAGATGTCTAAAAGAATCAAATTTGGAAGAAACAGGAGTCTTTTACTTTTCGCTTTCTAAATCCTTTCTGTAGTTTGAATTTTTTATGAACATACATTGCTTTTGTATTTAGGGAAAGGTACATGGAAGAATTTGTCTGTTCCAGAACTACTCAAAAAAAAAAATTAAAAAGAAAAAAAAAAAGCATGTAGATTTCTCCATTTCTGCTTTTTTTTTTTCCCCCTGAGATGGAGTCTCACTTTGTCACCCAGGCTGTAGTGCAGTGGCGCGATCTCGGCTCACTGCAAGCTCCGCCTCCCGGGTTCAAGCCATTCTCCTGCCTCAGCTTCCCGAGTAGCTGGGACTACAGGCGCCCGCCACCATGCCCGGCTAGTTTTTTTTTTTTTTTTTTTTTTTTTTGTAGTTTTTTTGTATTTTTAGTAGAGACGGGGTTTCACCATGTTAGCCAGGATGGTCTTGATCTCCTGACCTCATGATCCACCCTCCTCGGCCTCCCAAAGTGCTGGGATTACAGGCGTGAGCCACCACACCCGGCCCTCCATTTCTGCTTTCATAAGCCCTGAAACCAGTCCTCTGAGCACCGTAAAGGCACCTCGGCCAGTAGCCCCTCTTCGCCCCATCCCTGGAGCAGTTGAAGTCCCAGTAATGCTCCTTCGGAGGTTTTGGCTCCCTAAAGTCATTCTTCAGCCCTGAAATCCTCAAGCCCAGTCACTTCCCGGAGTCAAAGTTAGCCAACACAGGTGTAATGAGCAGCAAGGGAACAACGGTTAAGCTATTAATAAAGCAGCCGCTGATGTGAACACTAAGCTGCCAGGTGAACCAGCTCCAAAGTACAGCTCTATAGCAGAGGAAAAGGAAGTAAGTTAACACATATACTCATAACTTTATTTTCTCCTTTGACTATGTCTGCAACAGTCTCACAGCCCGACTGTGACGTGAGGAGAGAATAGGGTAAATAAATCACAGTGGCTTTAGGACACCTTCTTCTTCTTAGAGAAGAAAAAGGCATTTAGAGAAACTAGAGTATGGAAAAAAAGAGATTAGAGCCCAGAGCAGGAATTAGAGTCTAGAAGACAGGAAAGAAACCAGGGATTACTGCTTCCCTGACTTGAAAGCCCTCAAGGCAAAGGAACTACAGAAGAGTTAGGAAAGCAGGTAGAAGAGATTCCTACCATGGAGAAAAAAGCAAAGCTAGAAGGACTGACACATGGCATCGTGTAGTCAGAGACTCCCACAATTATCGATCCTGCCCCCCAGCCCCAGCTCTCTTTTGGATCAAGCACCCTAGTAACATTAGTGTACCTCCCTGTAAGAGGTGCATCCTAGATCCCCAAATCTGGGTTACAATATTGTCAAATAAGAGAAGAAAACATTTTTTACTGAAAAAATAATTATTCACAGCCCTCTTTTAAATAGTGAGCTTCCAATACAGCATTTGAGTATGATTCAATATAAACATTTCAGGAATAAATACAACAGGCAGATTGAGTCACCTGTGAAAAATAACACACATTAGATATATGCCCAACACTCTTCTAAGCGCCTTCCTACATTTAGTCATTTAATCCTCACATCACTCTTGGGGGAGACACTGTTAGTATTCCCACTTTTAAAAGGAGTAAACTGAGGCATGGAGAGAACAAGCAACTTGTTCAAGAGCTAAGAAGTCATAAACCCGGGATTCAAACTCAGGCAGTCTGACTCCAGAGGCTATACTCAAACATCATGCTATACTAGTTATCTCTCATGGGGTATTCTGCCCTTAGCACCTGGCTTCTTGCCCTGGCAGAGAAAAGAGACCCTAATTGTAGACCCTAACTCTGCCAACCCCAGTATCACATCCAGCCAGCTGCTTCTGTCCAGCAGGCTCCATGGGTGCTAGGTGAAGAGAGATTATCATTGTCAATCATGAAACTGACAAGGGCATGACATCAAGGTCGAGGCTCTGGGAAAAGCTTTGAACATGAGATAATTCCTGGTCTCATGCTGGTCGGCTGTTTCCACCTGCTGAGATATATATATTCCTTGACTAACTGGCTATATATATATATATATATATAACCACTGAAGTGAGAAGAACTGACTGACAGGATTCTGCAGGAATGGTGCCATCCAGAAGCAGAGGCAAGAGTTAGCATTCCTTGAAGTTCCCCAAAATATGTGGGGAACAGAGTCCCAGATCTTTTGGGAAGCTATGCAGCCTATGATGCTTAGAAATACAGATGCTTGGGGACAGGAAATGATGCTTCATCTCCTCGCAAACCCTCCTGCTGTTTCTATCTAAAAGACAGGCATAGAAATGAAAATGCTCATGTGAAAGCTGTCCTCAAAAAAATGAACCTATAGGGAAAATAGTTTACAAAGTACAAAGGCTAAACCTGTGAGAAAGTAAGATGCCCAAGACACTGTGAGAAGCCAAGTGTCAGGGCTCATTCCCCTCAGGCCTGTAGGAAGGAAACCAAGCAGCACTGGCTCCCATCTGCAATTTCTACAATGAGCAGCACTCTCCCAAAACTTAGCCCAACAGATAAAGCTGGTAACATTACCAGCTCCAAGTAATTCCTGCACCTGCAACTGTGCCTTACTCATTGTGTGTACAATAATGTTAGTTCTAACTTCCATCAGCAAGCCAGTGTGCAAACATCCCAGGAGACAGAGATTCAGTTTAAGAAAGCAGTAAGAAACTGCTGGACTACACCAGTAGTCAAGCCCCAAGAACAGACATTTCACTAAGTCTACTTGTTTTAGACAGGACATTCTACCCTGGAGACTTTGCATTAAATTTCCATGTCAAATAATTATTTATCACTCCCACCAAGCAGCAGAGTCCAGGATTATAACTATATTCCCAAGATAAAATGCTGAGAGAGAGCAGTCCCTCCTCTCTGCCAGAACTCACAACATTTCTTCTCTGACATTCGAAGATTTGGGGTTTTGGTTTCATAGCTGTTGTTGTTCTGTTCTGAGGAAGATGCCCCAGACATGGCAGCTCTTCAGATGTCTGAAACAGAGAAGTAGAATGTAAAAAAGGGAAGGGGAAGAAAGAAGACATAACTTAAAAAAAGTCAGTGCATTGGATCCGTGTGGTATAAGTAAAAACACCCTGGGCCAAGAGGCAGGTTCAGTCCTGTTTCTCCCAGTTAGCAGCTACTTCTCTAGCCCTCTGTTTCCTCACCTATAAAAAGAGTTGCACTAGAACCTTACATTTATCTTCTGACTTACGAGTCTACATTTACAGACGTTATCTTCTTCAGTCCTAACAATAATCTTGTAATTAGGCAGATTTTGCCACCATTATTTCTTCTCATTTTACAGATTGAAAATTTGAGATTCATCGAATTAAGTGTCCTGCTCAAGGTTTCATGACCTCAGATTCTAGTTTTAAGAATCTGGGCAGAGTAGTGGCAGCAGTTGGGGTGGGGTGGGTTATGTATAGACGAAGTACATTACCAGGAAATTAACTCCAATCTAACGGTAGGACTCAGTTTTGCAAACAGTGAGGCCGGGCACGGTGGCTCACTCCTGGAATTCCAACACTTGGGGAGGCTGAGGCGGGCGGATCAAGAGGTCAAGAGATAGAGACCATCCTGGCCAACATGGTGAAACCTCGTCTCTACTAAAAATACAAAAATTAGCCGGGCCTGGTGGTGCGCGCCTGTAGTCCCAGCTACTCGGGAGGCTGAGGCAGGAGAATCGCTTGAACCCGGGAGGCGGAGGTTGCAGTGAGCCAAGATCCCGCCACTGCACTCCAGCCTAGCGACAGAGCGAGACTCTGTCAAAAAAAAAAAAAAAAAAAATGAAAAATGAAAAAGAAAGAAAGAAAAGAAAAAAGTGAGGGACGTGGGAAAATCTCGAACATATTCCCTGAAGGAAAAACAGTAACTGGACCCCAAGACAGCCCTAGCACGTCGTCATTTCTCCTCTAGTGCATTCTCAAGCCCTGCTCCGCACCCTCTCCCTAGTTACCCCCGGGACTCAGTCTAAAGAACGCCGGAGCGCTGAGGTGGTAAATGACTTCCCCAAGGTCACCTCAGGAAGAGGGGTAAGCCCTGATTCAAACTGGAGTGGGAAAGTCCTGAGCTCATGCCCCCAATTCAGACAACAGGGGGCTGGTGAGGACGGAAGATCCTGCGCCTTCAAGAGCCTTACACGATTCCTTTACTGACCACACAAATCCTCCAACCCAAACACAGACTGTGGCTCCCGGTCCCAGAACGTCCGCGCTGCCTGCCATGCCTGGGGACCAGCACCTCTCCCCGCACTTCATCCGGGGGCACGCAGCCCCCACATCCCGCCCCGCTAGACCCTACCCGGGGCTGCGCAGCTGTGGCTCACCCTACGATCTCTCCTAAGATCCCTCCCTGCCTTGGCCCCGGCGCCTGCCCTGTAACGCGACCGAACCGAGCCGACAGCTTGTGGCCGGGACCGGCGCTACAGTCGCCGGCAAATCATGTGAGCCCGTCTGGCCCCGCCCCCTCGCGCGTAGGTCCTCACCTGGAGAGAATCATCCACCAATCGGGCGCCTGCAGGACCCAGGGGGCGGGGCAGGGTCGCAATCGCCTAACTGGCTCGGGAAGGCGGCTGGAAGTCGGAACCAGAGAGATCACAAGCTCCTGAGTTTCCCAGCGCCGAGGAGCCTGGTGGCACTGTTGCTTGGTAACTAATAGGGCTGGGGGCGGTGTTAATAAAAAGCTTGACTTTTTTCTGACTCTCGCGAGAGTAGACTATTCGGTAGGCGTCTTGAGAGCGGGTGTGCCGGGTGACGAGAAAATGCTGCAAAGATTAACGCTCTCATTCCTGAATCCCAGCAGAACCTCATTAGATCCATAAATGGGAACGTAAGCTTTAAAGATGTTTTTGCTAGAATAAACTACCACAACACTTGAGCTAATTATGCCTTAGGGTGTATACATACCCGGCTCCACAGGTCAGACGCTGTGACCTAAGAAAATCAACCACTCTCATCGTTGAACCAGAAGCTTCCCTGGACCCACCCATACACCCCATTGGAGTTTTTTTTGTTTTGGTTTGGTTTGGTTTTTGTTTTTTGAGATGGAGTTTTGCTCTTGTTGCCCAGGCTGGAGTGCAATGGCACGACCTTGGCACCGCAACTTTTGCCTCCCGTGTTCAAGCGATTCTCCTGCCTCCCAGTATCTAGAATTAAAGGCATGGACCACCACGCCCAGCTAATTTTGTATTTTTAGTAGAGACGGGGTTTCTCCATATTGATGAGGCTGGTCTCGAACTTCTGACCTCGGGTGATTCACCCGCCTCGGCCTCCCAAAGTGCTGGGATTACAGGTGTGAGCCACTGCGCCCGGCCACCCCGGTGGACTTCTAACCACTCCTACCTTCCCTCCTACCTACCCCCTAACCCAGGCTGTATCATCCGTTGCAGTCGTCTTGAAGAACCAAGGAGGAAAATTGCACCAGCAAAAAAAAATTGAGTCATGAAAGATGTGAAAAGATGGAAACATTACATATAATTTATTCAGAAGCAAAGTCTTTTACAGTGGAGGTGAGTTTGCACCAAGTGAACTACACTTTTCATAGTTGCCCCAGCGGGCCCGTTTGATGCTTGATAAACCCACTCTTGGCAAGTGGGACTTGCTGTCTGAATCCCGGCTGGATAAAGAACAATGAGTATGGATTTCTTGGAAAAGAGAGATATAAATTCAGGGATGTCTTTATTCCTCCTTCGCCTGGGAATTAAACTAATTCTTCCAAAAGTTCAAACAGTTATCTCCTCTTTAAGGCTTTTTACAACTCCCAGAGTGCTCTAGTTGCCCTCTCTATGTCTATACAACTCTGTCTTTATTCATTCAGCCAGTATTTGTTGAACACTTTTTATTTGCGAGGCACAGTCCTGGGTTCTAGGCATACACGTTTGAAAAGGTACAGATAATCTAGCATTATCACGTTGCTTTGAAATTCAGTGGCTGTGTGTCTCACACCCCACCCTGTCTCCCAACTGCAATGAATACTTGTTACAATGAAGGCAGGAATGAAGTCTTCATATTTGTATGCCCAGGAACTGAACTGGAATCTGATGACACGCGTTACACGACTCCTCCTTACACTGCCACCACCTGAATGAGGCAGCTGCCCTGGGCCCAGATGCTGACCTCATACTGTGCTTTCTGAAGTGGCAAATAGACGTTTTCAAGCACAGTCCCAGGGAGGCAGAAAGGCCAGTCTTTTGGCCCCTGGAACCCCAATGAGTCAATGTTTAATGCAGCCACGAGTCTAGTCACAAGTGTGATTGTTTTTGACTGGTCCTTTGACTCACTGACCATTCCTGGCATTCGTTTGCGTTGTGAACTATGATTCTGTTTCTCCTGGTGTAGTCTGGGTGTAGTGTGGAAGCCCCAATTTAATAATTTCCGACCTCACTAAGTGCAAGGTCACATTCCAATCTCCAGACCTTCATTCAGGAACTCCTTCCCCCGCCCTCTTTTCTTGAGCATATATGCTACCCACGCGGAGGGCACCTCACTCGCTCTATAGGTAGCAAGACCCGTTGTCCTTTAGGAATACGGAGGTTTACATCTTCGTTCTGAGGGTGGGGGAAAAATCAGTTGTCACTTTAAAAGAGTTCGCGCTTGCTAAGGTACTAAGGCAGAAGCCGCACCGAAGCGTCGCGATAACTGCAACCACCCGCAACTTCTCGCGATGTTTGGCCCCGCTAAAGGTCGCCATTTTGGAGTCCACCCGGCGCCTGGTTTCCCCGGCGGCGTCTCCCAACAGGCTGCCGGGACCAAAGCTGGCCCCGCGGGTGCCTGGCCTGTGGGCAGCCGGACCGACACGATGTGGCGGCTCCGCTGCAAGGCCAAGGACGGCACCCATGTTTTGCAGGGGCTGTCCAGCCGGACCCGGGTGCGGGAACTCCAGGGCCAAATTGCCGCCATCACCGGGATCGCCCCCGGCGGTCAGCGAATCCTCGTCGGATACCCTCCCGAGTGCCTGGATCTCAGCAATGGGGATACCATTCTGGAAGACTTGCCCATCCAATCTGGTAAGGAATCAGGGCTGGGGCCAGGGAAAGTCCCGGGAGGATGGAGAGGGGCGTGAGAGAGAACAAAACACCAGTCAAGGCAAGGTGGCTGTGAGTCGGCGGGGGGGCTTTGAGGCCAGGGGCGAGGATAGATCAAAGAACAGAGAATGCTGACGGGGGCCAGGGCAAGTGTCTAGCAACTCCTTGTCTTGACACAGGGTTGAAAGGGAACCCAAAGCCTTGAAGACCCCCTTCCCCATTCCGCTTTCTGGTCGGCTTTGAAACTATCCCATTTTGTTTTCCCTCGGCGTCCACAAAAATATAAAGTAGGGCCTATTTTCTCTGTCCTTATGTCTCTTTTTCCCTATATCACCGATGAGATCTCAAGGGTGCAGGATTTTTTTTTTCTTGATTCATTTTTGCAGTCCCCTTCGTAGATACTTCGTTTGACAGGCATACTCATTTTCGAGTTAGCTTTTAAAACACCCACTGAAAGCTCTTTCAATTTCTAACCAGCAGCAGTTATTTCTGTGCCATATCAAAACTTGAACATCAGTGTTTATAATTAAAAGCTTTCAGTTGCTGTATCAAGGATGTTGTAAACACTCTAGAGTAGATAAGTTTCCGGAGAAGGAGAACCCCCTAGCGGCCTACTCTGTAGTGAGCACCTTCTGTAAAATACTGTATAAGGAAAGGAAATTTTGTTTTTGAAATGTATCTTTTTAGGTAAGCTTGAAGTTGTTTACTCCAGACCCCTTCACTAAATTGGGATGCAACCTCAAGTGTTTTTTGTTCTTTTTTCATCTTTA
Source organism: Homo sapiens (assembly GCF_000001405.40). Taxonomy (NCBI): domain Eukaryota; kingdom Metazoa; phylum Chordata; class Mammalia; order Primates; family Hominidae; genus Homo; species Homo sapiens. The sequence continues at coordinate 207,049,899 of NC_000001.11, read as the reverse complement.
TGAAAATTCAGTGAACAAAGATTCTTACTGGTAACTTACTTGCAAAACTGTATTCTCCTTAGTAACCCCAGTTTATGCTTTAACTCCTTCAGTTTGTAATTTACAGACTTGGCTAGAGAACACTCGGTTTCTTCTGTAATTTCTTTGCAGATCGGGATTTGTTTTATTTTTAACAGGTGACATGCTGATCATTGAAGAAGACCAAACCAGGCCCAGAAGTTCACCTGCATTTACTAAACGTGGTGCTTCTAGTTACGTCAGGGAAACTTTGCCTGTGCTTACCAGAACCGTGGTCCCAGCAGACAACTCTTGCCTCTTTACTAGTGTGTACTATGTCGTCGAAGGAGGAGTCTTGAATCCAGCTTGTGCCCCTGAGATGAGACGCCTCATAGCACAAATTGTAGCAAGCGATCCAGACTTCTATAGTGAGGCAATACTGGGAAAAACAAATCAAGAGTACTGTGACTGGATCAAAAGGGATGACACTTGGGGAGGAGCAATAGAGATATCGATTTTGTCCAAGTTTTACCAATGTGAAATATGTGTAGTGGATACACAGACAGTAAGAATTGATCGTTTTGGGGAAGATGCAGGATATACCAAAAGGGTTCTGCTTATTTATGATGGCATCCACTATGATCCACTTCAGCGTAACTTCCCTGATCCAGATACACCTCCTCTGACCATTTTCTCCTCTAATGATGATATTGTTCTTGTACAAGCACTGGAATTAGCAGATGAAGCTAGAAGAAGGAGACAGTTTACTGATGTCAACCGCTTCACCCTGAGATGCATGGTATGTCAGAAAGGATTAACTGGACAAGCAGAAGCAAGGGAACATGCCAAGGAGACAGGCCATACCAACTTTGGAGAAGTGTGACCTATGCATGAATGAGGGTTGAAGCCTACTACCTCACACATCCAGAAGGCTCTGGGTTTTCCAATAAGCTATGGTAACCCTAAAGAACAAAGGATACAATGCTTGAACCATCCTTTTAACTTAAAACCACTAAGACACTGAAATTCCTTGTTAAGATTAAAATTAGTGTGCAAGTTTACAGATGTGTGTCTACAGTGGTAAACTGTACATACATGCCTCTTTCTGCTGGAGTGACAGAATAGGTGATCCTTGCCACCTACTGACACTGACCTGAAGGTTGAGATTGAGTATTATAAACTAGCACCCAGCAGCTTTAACTTGTAGAAGAAAGCATCACATTTTGGGTAATGTGGAAGGCCTCCTGTGAGTCCACTGGGCATACGATTGAGATTGAGTATTATAAACTAGCACCCAGCAGCTTTAACTTGTAGAAGAAAGCATCACATTTTGGGTAATGTGGAAGGCCTCCTGTGAGTCCACTGGACATTTACCACAGTGTCTCCAGTAACTGAGTCTTTTTAAAAACTCTGAATGAGTTAAGTTTCTAAATTATGAATTGATTCATCAAATGAAGATACTCAGAATTGTCCAAACTGATTTTATATTGCAATTTGGTAGACATTATAAATGTGTGCTTAACCACTGATAAGTACATCACAAGCAATTTTTACAGGGATGAGTCTCATCCTTGAGAATGTTATCACAAAACAGGAACTGATTGTGCCCTGTTTAAGATCTCTAGCATATAAAACGTAGAATGTATGAGGGAATAGGTGCCTGAGCAGCTTCCTGAAGCTTTAAAAGACCGTTGGCCTCGTGTTTTAATGCAATTCATGTATTGGTCTTTGTCACATTGGATAACATTTTAAAGTTAAGCAGGGTACTTTTTTAATTGAAATTCCTTGAAATTCGAGTCCTCAGTTTTTTCTTCATTTGCGTAAAGTTTATCGGGGGGAATTTAATTTTCTCAGCTTTTTGTTAAGAGCACTTCCTCCAAAAAATTTTTTTCAAGTAATAATGCTCTGCTTTGGGTTGGTTTTTGTAAGATTTTTTGCACACCTAAAGAGTGTTTGCTTTTGTGCTAGCCTTATCCCTCCACTAAAGTTATTTTAAATAATTTCACATTTCTGCAAATTAGCACTTTGCTTATCTGCAATCTTTTACTTTGATTTTTGAAGTTTTAAAGCAATTGGAGTAATACTGTTGAATGAACTAGTTTCACTTCCAAAATAGAAAAAATTGTAAATCCTTGCCTTATGCAGCTTTCTCAGAATTCTGCTTCTTCCTAGTACTAGATGTGTAGCCATTTGCTTAGTGGACTAATCCGCAAGGCACACCCTCTAAAACTTAGCTTCACTACAAGATCTTCCAGATAAAAGTTTTCTACCTCTTTTCTTAATTATTCTGATCAGGGATGCTAAATTATAATTTGTTATGTATTATCTCACATAATGTGAAGAGGCTTAATGTGAAGTTTTGTTATTTTGGTCTCTTTTTTATTAAGTATCTCACTTAGAAATTCAGTGGTATACTTTAAAGCACTTGGATCTTTTTCAGCATATCTGCCTAGCAAATGTTTTAAAATTGACATTTATTTTTAGCACTTTCACTTGGTGAAGGTGGCCATATAAAATTAAGGAACATTTGAACAATATAAGAGAAAAGAACTTTTAAGGAACAATTCACAAAGTTTGTTTGAAATTGTCAGATGACATTTCTTGAGTACCTTTTGTGTGCATAGTTATTTTAGACAATATAAGCTGTTATGGTCAGCATAACTTAAAAGTGTTTAGTTTTCTATTTTACTGAGCCTTAAAAATAGCACTGATGAGCTTATGATACTTAATGTTTGGCAATCATAATGTGTTCAAATTAATGGGATTGAAAATCTCTCCACACCTGACTCTCATCTGATCTGGATGGTTTTGGTTTTGTATCTTTTTTACTTCTCCCAGAAAATACTAAATTTAAAACTGTAAATTAAGAATATACCACTAGATAACAATTATCAAATTGAGCTTTATGCATCATTACTCAGAAAGCTTGCCTTCCTTTCTTTGCTACTTCAGGACACAGAGTTGACATTTGCTTACTACAGCTTTAGATCTAGAAGTTTATTCGTGCAACAAATATTTATTGAGTAATTTATACTGTGCCAGGCATGTTTTGATATGTTTCTGTCATATGTTTTGATATGTTCCAACATAAGTTTCTGTCACTTTATATTCAGTATATATTTTCTACAGTGGGTAAATTTAACAAATGGAAAGGAATAGAACACTGATATTTTACAGAATTAAACCCCTTCATTGTAAGGGCTTTGTTTACATATTAAGTGTCAAGTATTTATTCAGGGGATCTTATTTCATTGTATTTTATCTGTTATCTAGGTTGTCCATTTACCGGTTGGACACTGATACTCTGTCAAATTCCTTTCAAAAATGACTCTTTAGTCTGCTGAAATTTAGCACTAGTACTTTAGTGTTCTGATCCTGGAAAATTCAAGGTGAAGCTTTATTTGTGGACCATCTGATTTAATTATTGAGGATTAAAAACCTAAACCTTTGCTCATTCTAAACTCAAGCTTTTAAGCCTCACAGAATTTACAGGGGTTTGCTTTTTGTTTGTTTGTTTTTTCATTTTTTACTGTGCTTATTAAACTCTTGGAATTAGTTATTAAAGGGAGTAAATTCTCATCTTGGGAATTTTGAAAATCTATGGACTTACAACTTTCAGGAGGATTAAATGTCTTAAGTTTTGTACTAGAGCAGAATGAAATCTTTCCTATTCATTGAGTTTTTGCCTGCCATAGAGGAATTTTTTTAAAAATTAAAATGACAGTTTATATTAGTGGCAAAGTGAATAAAGACCTCACTTTCCCACCCCACCCTTCTTCCTTTCTCTTACTTTTCTTTGGATTAAAGGTCAGGTGTAGTACTATGAAGATTCACTCCTGAATAAAGTGATTTCAGAAGCTAAAATTTAACATACCTGGAAATTTTGTGATGTGTTAGCCAAGTGAAGACATTAGTGTGTTCCATCTTTTGCTAATGGTTCATGGTTGATTTCTTCATTGTTTCCCATGAAATTAGCATAGTCAAGTGGTACCCTTGACGCTTGACTGCTGGTCAGTTTGACCCTGTTTTTAACAACTAATGTAGTCATGCCGCTTGATTATTCCATGAAGTCCCAGCAAAATAATAATGAGGAATTAACTAACATTATGTTATCTATCTAATTTGTCTGTGTCCCTAAATGCCCATGCCTAACTTGCTTCTCTAGTTTATTCCTTCTGTGGAGGGATTAAAACGTGGGTGTTGCAAGTTGCCCTAAGCTAAACATAGTTTTCTTACATCTTTTTGGGAAAAAAAATGGAATGGGAAGTATGCAAGATTAAGCAAGAGTGATTTTTTTTTTTTTTTGACAAATCAGGTGGCCTTCCTAAACATACTAAGAATTATGTTCTTTCATGTGTGGAGACACATTTGTTTGCAGCACTTTAAAAAATATATATGGAATAAAAGTTTACATGTTGGCCCTCTAGGGATCTAATTAAGGACATTAAAGTACAATTCTTGAGCTACTAACCATCAGCTCTTCTTAATCAAAGATTGCCATCAGTGTAGAGTGTATCTATTGGCACAACATTCTGGTGTTTTGATAACAGTAGAACTCAATTTCAGTAACTATTAGGAGCATGGTCTGTGCCCTAGCATTAAAAATGTTACTTATTATTATGTGAATATCTTGTATTATTATACAATGCAGTATTCAAATTTGTCCTTGTAGTGCAGAGATGACTGATAATTTCTAAAAGATTCGATCCTTAAAACTTGTTTCCAAGCAGACTTATAAGGAAGCTGATTTTTGAGTCAGAGGCCTTAAACGTGTCATATACAAGTGGCATCATTTTAAGTCCAAAGTGAAACACTTGATTTGAATAAGCTAGTTTATAAACTAAAGCTGTTTTCTTATGTTACAGTATTTCAGCACATTTCATTCCACATAAAAAGAATATTAAGTGTCCCTGGTTGTGGGAGAGTGTTTATTTTTCTCAAAATTATCTAGCATTTTGCTTACAGTGCTTTGAATGTTTGACTTAAAATTATTATTGATGTTGAATTGTAGGGTGCTGATTTAGGTCTTGATTCATACACATTTAAAGGAGGTTGGTAACCCCCTCATGGTAGAGTGAAGGGAGAAAAGGGCCAAGAAGACAAAGTACCACTGATAAAGAAGAGATTGTCAAATAGATGCATTCCTAGTCATGAATTACCCTTTTCCAAACATTTTTAAAGCAATGCCTTTGTGTCAACTCAACCCTTCTTCCCCATTTCTTGTCATAGAATGTAGCATGGCCATAGGTGAAAAAGCTTATCATTAAAGTATGAAACCATGAATTATAAGCATTTTGCCATGATGCCCTTTTATACATATGTTTTTAAAAGTACTAACCAACATATAGGAGTTTAGGAATGGTGAAGATATAATTTGATTAAGTTGTAGGTAAACAGAAAGGATCATCTTAGGCTCAGAATTTCTAATATGATTACATGAGTCTACTTTATAAACTGGTATAGGCTATGTAATTAGCCCGTAAGTTACTTAAAGGACCAGGGGACCTAATTTTTGTCAGTTTTCCAGTCACATTGGTGCCATTCAGGACTCCAGCTGTTTACAGGAAATATGTACTTAGCAGAATAGTATTTTTCCTTGAAAAAAATTTGAATTCAGCCTAAATACAGAATGAATATGAATAGTTTGTGAAAAGGGTTAGAGAACAACAATATTCCTATAGTTTCTGTATTAATGCAGTAGAGACAGAGGTTCCTAACGCAAAAAGAAAACCACAAGTAAAGACCGTCAAATTAGAGCTTTAGAATATGACTTGAAAAAGTAGGGATGGGCAAAACAGCATAAGAAAATATTTTTTCTTAATGCAGATGGACAGTGTTTTCTTGTTTTAAAAATGTTTTGCCTATTTGCCAGCATTTTTTGAAGTAATACACTGCTGCTACCTGGAAGATGTCTAACTTCATTTTCTACAACTCTTATGTGATTTTGCCATTGTCATTAAGATGCATTGATTTTATTTATGAGGTGTATGACTTTAAATATCTAAATGCTGTATTAAGTGACTTGTTTCAAAGGAATAAATGAAGTGAAAACGTTGTTTGAGTATATTTTGGGATCAGGGCAGATATGGCCACTGAACGGCTATTTTACTCAATATACATATTATCAAAAGCTTACCGAATCTTTAACTAAGGTACCAAAATCTGCCAAATATCACCCTTTAGGCGGACTCAATGAATGAGACAGGAGAAACTAAGGTATTTCTCCTTAACGAAAGGTTGAAATTCCCATTCATTGACTAAATTTTTTTCTAAATCCAATCCTACAAGTTGTAATTCAATATTTGTTGCTGACAAGTTGTCAGTGTGGAAAGGCTTAATATTTATTTTCTAATAGACTGCAATCTTTGTGAACTTAGATCTGTTTGAAAACAGCAACATCACTATAGGAGGGTTTATTTCATCTTTGGCAATGTCAACATTTAAACATGTATTTGAAGCAACCCTGTGGCTATTACAATTGGCCAGAGTTCAGGTTCCCTAACTAAACTAAACTATTTAACCCATTCTTTCTCATTGAAAGCTTTAAAATTATGGACGTGGAAGTATAATAATATCTAATCAGTTTGTACAGCAGCATAAAATATATTTCTGGGGGTCAGTGTACATCCAACATAAGAATAAGTCAAGCCAAACTTCACATTACAAGGTTCATAAAGAATCGGTTGGGTTGTGTGATGGAAGCTTATTGAATGATTAATTGTGCCCATAAAGCAATGCTTCCCAAAGTTGGTCATCACATTACCTGGGAACTTGTTAGAAATGCAAGTGCTCAGAAGGACATCAGAAATTGGTGAGACCCAACAATCAATTTTAGTAAGCCCACCAGGCGATTCTGATGCATGATTTAAAAAAAAAAAAAAAAGTTTGGGAATCGTGGCTATCACCATGGTGGTTTAAATGAACCATTAATCAACTTGCGAGAGATCTCTTATGGCTTATACCAGTTTTATGTCCTTAGCCTCATGCAATTCATTTTCACTCACCACTTACAGTTATTAAGTTTACAGATAATGTAAATCCAGAGAAGATTTGTAGAACAATGAATGACAATTCAAAAATCTCAACAAGCCAAAAAATCCTAACGTTGAATATTCCTAAATGTGAAGTCCTGCCCTTGAATTCTAAACAATCCATTATGTGAGTTCAGCATGAGGGAAAACCTGGCTTTATAGTTGGTTTGACAAAAGACGAAGCAATGGTACTTAATTCTAATTCTGATCCGAATAGAGTACTATGGCTTAGGTTGCAAAAATAGCTGCATTTTAATACTTGAAAGAGCAGGAAAAAGGAAGCAATAGTCTTTTTTTTTTTTTTTTTTTTTTTTTTTTTTTTGTGAGACAGAGTGTTGCTGTGTCGCCCAGGCTGCAGCGTAGTGGGGTGATCTCGGCTCACTGCAAGCTCCGCCTGCCAGGTTCACACCATTCTCTGGCCTCAGCCTCCCAAGTAGCTGGGACTACAGGCGCCCACCACCACGCCCAGCTAATTTTTCGTATTTTTAGTAGGAATGGGGTTTCACCACGTTAGCCAGGATGGTCTTGATCTCCTGACCTCGTGAACTGCCCGCCTCAGCCTCCCCAAGTGCTGGAATTACAGACGTGAGCCACTGCGCCTGGCCGCAATAGTCTTAATGTTGGTCATGTTGCATTGGAGGTTTGGATGTGGGTTTTACCTGTAAAATGTGGTGAAAAACAGGTTTGATGGCCGTCTTGGAGGCTGAAGAAATGAGGGGGAAAAGAAGAGATTGACATGTTAGCTAACTTCAAATTTTGGGACATGTATAAAAGATGAATTAGATTTATTCTCTGAGGCCCTAGAGGAAAGAACTCAGACTAAAAAAGGATAGATATTGTTGCAAAGTAAACTTACATTAAAAACCTAACAAGAATGAAAATGAAAGCTATCAAAATACATTAGTAATGGAGGTAGTCTTTTGCATGAGAAATAGTGCTAGAAGTCATTAGGTCCCTATCATCTTAAAATCTGTTTTACAGATGCTAGAGAGAATGTGGAGAAATAGGCACGTGTTACACTGTTGGTGGGAGTGTAAATTAGTTCAACCATTGTGGAAAACAGTGTGGCGATTCCTCAAGGATCTAGAACTAGAAATACCATTTGACCCAACAATCCCATTACTGAGTATATACCAAAAGGATTTAAATCATTCTGCTATAAAGACACATGCACACATATGTTTATTGCAGCACTGTTCACAATAGCAAAGACTTGGAACCAACCCAAACGCCCATCAATGATAGATTGGATAAAGAAATGTGGCACATATACACCATGGAATACTATGCAGCCATAGAAAAGAATGAGTTCACGTCCTTTGCAGGGACATGGATGAAGCTGGAAACCATCATTCTCAGCAAACTAACACAGGAACAGAAAACCAAACACTGCATGTTCTCACTCATAAGTGGGAGTTGAACAATGAGAACATATGGGCACAGGGAAGGGAACATCACACATTGGGGCCTGTCAGTGGGGTGGGGTGTAAGAGGAGGGATAGCATTAGGAGAAATACCTAATGTAGATGACGGGTTCATGGGTGCAGCAAACCACCATGGCACATGTATACCTATGTAACAAAACTGCACGTTCTGCACATGTATCCCAGAACTTAAAGTATAATTAAAAAAAAAAAAAAATCTGGCCAGGCGCGGTGGCTCATGCCTGTAATCCCAGCTTTTTGGGAGGCCGAGGCAGGGCAGATCACGAGGTCAGGAGATCGAGACCATCCTGGCTAACACGGTGAAACCCTGTCTCTACTAAAAATACAAAAAGTAGCCGGGCGTGGTGGCGGGCGCCTGTAGTCCCAGCTACTTGGGAGGTTGAGGCAGGAGAATGGCGTGAACCTGGGAGGCGGAGCTTGCAGTGAGCCGAGATAGCGCCACTGCACTCCAGCCTAGGCGACAGAGCGAGACTCTTGTCTCAAAAAAAAAAAAAAAAAAAAAATCTGTTTTAAATGCTAGTTATAACTACAAAAAGTAAAACGTAGTTTTTTTCTGTCCTCTTTACCATCCCATTAGAGCTTAGAAAAAGAGTGGCTTGTGCTCTTAGTTATGTGGCGAAGGCTACAAAGCAGGACATGTATTTGGCAAAGTGTATACTTACTGGATGGTAAGTATCTATGCTTATCTTATATCTTTAAGCCTGAATGAGACATTCAAGAACAGAAAAGCAGGCATTTCAAATATATTTTCTATTTTGTTTTGACTTGGATTGTCTTTGTCTCTATTTTGTTTATAAATTTTGAGGATGTTTACCAGACGAAAACAAGACACAAACATATTCCCCTAAGCCCACTGAAACTTTTATGATTTCCTCATAAAATGAATTCAAGAATTCCTAAGAAACTATTAATAGCTCTCAAAGAATGAATAGCCTTCTCTCTCTTTGCTTTAGTAGCTGCCACTCTTTTAACTTCTCTGCCCTTCTGACCTAGAATTCCTTCCATACACGAAGTGAAGTTTTCTGATCTTATTCCTGTGGCATTTCTCTGTATTCACTTGGAGGACTTCATTAGTGAATCTTGAGGTATTGGAGCAGATGTCATAATGACTTGGCCATGTTCTAAAACCCTAAAGATGGCCCTGTTGAATCACTGCAATAAGCCGAAAAGCTATTAATCTGGAGTTGTTTGGAGTTGCTGCTGACTCAGGAGTCAGGTTTGAAATCAATACCGAAGTTAAGTACAAAATGTAGACAAAATTATTCCCAATAACCCTTACCTATCTCACTGAGTGTATAGACATCACCATAACTTGTAAGTCCAACACAGCTAGTCCCCACGCCAGTGCTGGAAGAGGTCATGCTCACTCCTATGGTGCAGCTCTCTGAGGTCCCAACCTGCAGTGAGTGTGGCTCACTAGAGCACATTAATTGGTGGACCCTGAACTCTGATGCCTGTTCTCCTTGTTCTCTTAAGCTGTCAGAAGTACCACTCAGCCTCTCAGCATCTCAGCCACCCATTTTGGAACAGACAAATGTCTCCAGAGGAAAAGTGGCTGGCCTCAAATGTTGGACACAACACACCAGACCTATCCTCACCTTGATCCAGGCCTGTGTCCTTAGTGCCTGCCAAATTCTTCACTATCTTTTTGGCTCTACACTGCAAACAGCAGGAGAGTTTGTCTGAATTACCCAGTCCAGCATTCCTGGAAGTGGAAGTCCTCAGCAGCACCTTTCCTAAGATAATCAAGAAACAACTACCATAAAAGCGTGGGGTTTTTTTTTAAAACATGTAATCTTGGAAATATCAGGTATGAAACAAATGATGTAATAATTTTTCTGTCAACAATGGAGGAAAGAAGGGTTTCGTAAGAATTTGTCAGGGTTTATTTAGAACTGTCCAATAGGAAAAGTCACTTTATCAAGTAACCATAAATATTTTTCTAACACAGTTCATTTCCATTCTGTCGGATATTTATATTGAATTAAATGGAAATGTCCTTTTTATGGAATAAGAATCTATTTTTAGAGTCTGTTATGTAGGACATTTCATAAAATTACTATTCCTAATTATGGACAAAATTTTACAGTTACTGGAATTCCAAACTTTCTTCCACTATGACTTAACTGTTTTGTATTGGGGTTGATAACTCTTTCTCTAATGAATTTTATTGGATTGAATTACCTCTCCTAGAGTGTTAATATTATGGAGTACATTGATCAATTTGAGTTTTTAAACCTACAAAACTAAGGAGCAGATTTTGCATTATGTTGACATACTGCCAAAGTTACCCTCTCATTAGGTTCATCCTTTAACATCCAAAGATCTAGCCTTGTTTTTCTTACTCTTACAATGAAGATCAAGAAAATGATCTTGAATTTGGCTAGGAAAAGCTAAGGTAATAACTTATCTCGGAAAATTGTTAAATGGTTTAACAAATCCTCATTGAGCTTTTACTTATTGCAAAATATGGTGTCAAATACCTCAAGATTGCAATAATATTAATTCATTTAATAAACATTTCTGAATGCTAATGTCATACCAGGAACTTCCCTAGGTGGTGGGTATAATTTGGAGGGAAAGAAAAAACAACACTACAAAGAAATAAAAATACAAGTGCTATGAGATCCTTTTGTAGTTCATAAGTGTGATGATTGGGGTTTTGCACTTATGTGTGGGATGTGATGACTCTCTCAAACCTTGTTATGACATCAGCACATTACCTGTCTGATGTGAAAAATAAATACAGATGCTATGAAAAGAATAATTGGGTGGGAGAATCGAATTAAAATTGGTGAATCTGGGAAAGACTTTGAGAAGATGACATTTAAGCTGAAATCTGAAGCATGAATAAGAACTAATCAGTTGAAAAATAAAATCATTTCAAATAGAGGGTACAGCATTTGCAAACATGATGTTGCAGAAGGAAATGAAATATTTTTCAGACCAGTCTGGTCACAGTATGATAAACAGGAGAAGGGGACATGAAATAAAGTATTAGAAGCAGGCAAGGATCCAGATTTGCAGCATCTATAAGCTATATTAAGCATTTCCTCGAATTCATATTTAACAGGCTTTATTTGCTTATTTTATGTTTGTGCTCATAATTACTTTGTAAACTCCACAAGGGCAGGAACTAGTTGTGACTTTTGTTATTGCTGTATTCCTAACACCTAATAAGGGGCTGGATCTACAATAGACATTCGATATATAGTTGAATGAATGAACATGTGAATGAATAAAGTCAATGAAGTTTATTCCTGTAAAGGAATAAAGTTATCCTAAGATCATTGGGAGGATATTCAAGCATTTTAAGGAAGGCATCAGATTGATGTTCCTCAAAATTTACTGTAACTGCCCTGTGGAGAAGAGATTGAAGAGGGCGGAGTGGAAGTGGAGTACCAGTGAGGAGGAGGCTACTACAGTAACATATGGAAGTGATGACGGTGAGCATTATCATAGTTAGCATTTACTGAGTGCTCACAGTATACTCAGCACTCTTCATGTATTATCTCATGTAATCTTTACAATAACTCTATAAGTTATGTGCTATTATTATCATCTCTATTTTATAGATATGATTACTGAGAATTATAAAGTTTAAACTGCCTCAAGGACAAACAGCTAATAAGTGGATGATGGCTTGGGCCATGTAGATGTCAAGAGAAGAGGATAGATGTAATATATAATTTAGAGATAGGATCTCCAAGAATTGGTGATGTGGAATAATATTTACTCAATCAACTGGTAGGAAAAAGTGACATTTACTGATTCATGGAAGATGAAGGGGGGAAGTATTTGGAGAGAATAGAGAAGAAAAGAGTTAAGACATGTTAAGTTTGAGATGTTTGTGAATCATGTGAAAGCAGAGATCATGTAGGCATCTACAGGTCTGAAGTTCAAAAGATATATCTAAAGACAAAGACCTAAATTTTGGACTTGTTGACCTATAGATAAAAGCTGTGTGGATGGAAGAGAGAAGGTAGAGAGAGTGTATATAGGGAGGAAGACTCAGCACCAAGCTGCAAGTAACTCCCAACATTTAAGGAGCCAGGTAAGGGAAGAAGAACTAGCATTTAAAAGTTAGTTGAAGAAAGAGCCACCAAGGATAACTGAGGGTTCAGGAGAGATTAGAGAAGCAAGAGAACTTTATGTCATGGAATTCAAGAGAAAATAGTTTTTTAAAAAAACTGAAAGTGGCCAGCTGTGTTGGATGTTATAGAAAGACAAGATAGAGAAGAATTCAAACAGTCTATAGGATTTGGCAAACTGGAGTTCATTGATGACCTTAGCATGAGCTGTTTTAGGGGAGTCAAGGAGAAAGTAGCCAGATAGAAATGAGTTGAAGAGTAAATAGGGATGTCTGGTTAAAGATAACAAGTTGAACATATTCACTAACCTCCACTCTCCCAAAACTTCAGTAAAATGATAGTAATGGAATTACACTCAAGGACAAAGAGATAGTGGGGTAAATAATAGCAACAACATTTCGGAAGTTAGTGAGCTGCTAACTTTCAAGTAATTTTTAACAAATTAGTTAACAAGCAGTTGGATGTGTGGTAACTGACAGCAGATTTTAAAAAGCTGATGGGAATTATTTTAGGAGAAAGGTCAAAATGATGATGCAGGAGAGAAGGTTACAGGGATAGAGTTGGTGAAATGAGATTCAGAGCACACACAATGGATGACAGGATTTTATAGGAAAAACATGGTTTTTGTTGTTGTTGTACTGACAGGAAAAAAGAAGAAAATGGGTGCAGAGGAAGTTAGGTTTGTAAATTTGGGGATGGGAATGTGGCATTCCTGCCTCTTGACTACTGTTGTCATACTGAAGCTTTCAAAATTGGTGACAAAGTTGTTATATGAAAATGGAGTGAAAGAGAGGTAGACAGTTTATGGAGAGAGAAAAAGAGTGGTCTCAGAAAATGGGAAATCCAGCTTCCTAGAGAAAAGTAGTAATTGCCTGAAGTATAAAGTACCCATTTGAGGTTGTTACTCATGAAGTTATAGTGGTACTAATCTGCCTGTTATGCGATCAACATAAAGATGTTAGTGACTCAAAGGAATCCAGTAACACCAAATCAAAAGCAAGAGCAGGAAATGCTGACATGTGGAGTCAACCATTAAATGTGACATTTCTGGGAACCAAGACACCAGCAGGTAGGAGACAAGTGGTTACAGTCTATTCAGTCTGCCATGCTTAGAGTTTTTGCCATGTGATATAGTGTGAATGTTCTGTCCCCTCCAAATCTCATGTTGAAATGTGACCTCCAAAGTTGGAGGTGGACCTAGTGGGAGGCGTTTGGGTCATGGGGGCAGATCCCTCATGAATGTCTTGGTGCTGTCCTTTTGTAATGAGTAAGTTCTAAGTTCTCACATGAGATCATGCCCAGCCAAACCCCTTTTCCGTATCAATTACTAGGTCTCAGGTATTCCTTTACACCAATGCAAACAGACTAACGTACTATGTGATAAGTGTATGTTCCATGGCCCTGTCTATTGTTAATAATGAGTCATTATAGCAAATAAAATAAATATTAATAAATGTATACTGAGTACGCATGTTAGCACCTCCTTCCTCTCTCTTGCTCCCTGTCTCACCGTGTGACACTGCCTGCTCTCCCTTTGCCTGCTGTTACGATTGTAAGCTTCCTGAGACTCTTACCAGAAGCTTAGCAGATGCTAGCACCATGCCTGTACAGCCTGTAGAATCATGAGCAAAACAAACCTCTTTTCTTTTTTTGTTTTTTTTGTTTGTTTGTTTGTTTGTTTTTAAGACAGGGTCTTGCTCTGTCACCAAGGCTGGAGTGCAGTGTCATAATCATGGCTCACTGCAGCCTTGATCTCCCGGTCTCAAGCCATCCTTTCGCCTCACCCCACGAGCACCTGGGACTGCAGGTGCGCACTGCCATACCTGGCTAATTTTTGTACTTTTAGTAGAGACAGGGTTTTGCCATGTTGCCCAGGCTGGTCTCCAACTCCTGAGCTCAAGCAATCCCCCTGCCTTGGCCATCCAAAGTGCTGGAATTACAGGCATGAGCCACCATGCCAGCCAAACCTCTTTTCTTTATAAATTACTAGGTCTCAGGTATTCCTTTATAGCAATGCAAATGGACTAACACACCTTGCATGTGCACTTAGAGGGAAGGGAGGTGCCTAAGTGGGGAGGTTGTACTGAGAAAGGAAATCATAAACTAGCCTCTGACAGTCAAAGAGATGACCACAACAGCATGCAAGAATGGAGAAGGAGAGAACAGATGAGTCAGGTGAGCTGGGCTGTAATTAGTTTCCACAGAGTCTGGTCATCAAACAGGCATTTACATACTAAGAGCAATGACACACATACCCCCTCAAATGATGACCTATATCAACCAGGAAGTCTTATTCTTTCAGGCTTTTGACTGACTTTGGAAATCCTCCCTTTTCTGTAGTCCAGGCCTCCTTTCCAACTCTCTTGGAATGTTAGAGACTTGGTATATTTCTAAGCAAAAATAAAACAAAGCAAAAACAATATGAATTCCAGGGAAAACATTTAAGTACATGGAGAATGGAAAAAAGAAAATTTGAAATAGTGATTTATTTCAGCTAGGACATATATGTGTTTGCAGGGAGGGGAGGCTCAAGGCTTGTAAGTAACTTCGACTGTGATGTTTATGTTTTATTTCCTGAACTGGATGTTAGGTACGGTTATGTTTGTTATGTCAGTGTATCTGAAATATTTCATAATTTACAAAAAGAAAAAGTTTTTGAGAGGAAAGGGAGGAAGGGAAAGATGATTTTTGTCTATGTCCCTGCTTCTACCTGGTAAAAGATAGGGGTTCCTCCTAGTTATCCTAATTTTATTATAACTGAAAAACTGTGTCTGTTCACAAATAAGACTGTTGCCTACTATCCTCTTGGAAGTTAATTCTCATAAGTCAATTCATTTTTTTAGCAAATGTTCAAATCACACACCTATGGAGCTGGATCAACTTCATTGACTTCATCCATGGGTGTGACTCTGGTTGCACTGAACTGCTGATTTGGAGATGCCCTTCCTGTTTTGTTAGTATTATGACATCATATATGTTTGAATGACACACCAGGGAAAGAGGTCATAGCCCGAAGTGCTCATTCAGCTGTGATATCCATAGGCTGCTGATAGGGTACTGGGTTATCCCAGGCTTCCTCCAACCTCCTTCCTATCCATTAGTCCTGCTCCACTTCATCTTTACCTTGGCCCCAGGATCACTGCCCTTTTTATTTCCTATCCAACCATGATCACAGAAAGAGAAAAGATGAAAGCCATGTGTCGTCTTGTTATAAAACATATTAATAGCTTTAAGTAGGAAATGAAACAGAAAAGGACGAATCTAATAGCTAGAATTACACTTGCAAATTATCTGTGTATTTCATGATTCCCACTTGAGATTCCTTCCAAAATAGAGGCGGATTGGCATTATGCTGATTCATAGCAACCTTGATGTTATACTGCCTGAATTAAAATCTCTGCCCTGCCTCTTCCTAGCTACATGGCCTTGAAAAAGATTTTTAACCTCCCTGTAAAATTTAGATATTAACAAATGCCTACTTTTTTAAGTTAAAGACTAAATTAAAAGATACATGAAAATGCTCAGCACAATACCTAGCAAATAGCAAGAGCTTAATACATTTTGGCAATTATTGTGTACATTGATTTTAAATTTTCTCCCTGACCTTTTAATGCTAGTAAGTGGAATACCTCAAATCCTGATACCTATCAAGGATAATCTACCTGTAGGAAAAACCAGCTTCCAGGCAAAAATCATATCTGTTAAGAGTGGTCTCTGTACCTGGTGGGAAATTTCTTCCCAAAAATAGTAGATTCTTCTACCTACTCTCTTCTCCCTACGAATGCCAAGTATCAGTCCATGAAAGGAGACAAGAGTTGCTAAACTGGTTGGTAGTTTGTTTTGTTTTTATTTCATAATATGTATTGCCACCTTCCATGAACAGCCAAAAGAGAGCAGAGGACCAAATGACAGAGTGCATGCTCTCTCCTTTCAAGCTGTCCAGTCACTCTTTCATCAGGACACGGACCTCTTAGGGGATGAATGGTTTTATTTCCCCCAGAAATAAATTAGGCCAAGGAGATTGTTGGCAAGCACTGGGGCGAGACTGGCCCAACTACAGCATCCCTAGCCTGGGGACACCTTCTTCAGTGGACATGAATGGAATTGCTAGGCTTATGAGCTAGGATTAGGCTTGGGGAAGAAAGTGACTTTCAACATCTAGAAAAGCTAGCAGCAAAACTGAACACAAATGAGTTTAGCCTAGAGAATTCAGGGGAAAACTAAGCTCCAAGCGGAAGAAGGTAGTTCTAGATGAAAAACCTGTTTCACATAGACCTATGGAAAAGCACACTGCCCAGAGGACTGTCTGCGTTCCTTTATATCAACATTAAATATATATACTATCTCTGCCTACTCCCTCCCTGCCACCTGTCCTTCCAGTCTCAGCCCAAACCGGCTCCTCCTCCTTCCAGCCCTCCTTTTTTAAAGAGCTCTTTATTAGCTCTAAACAGGAAAGGGGAGGGTAGGAGATGATTGGCTAAGAGGGAACAGCACCACCCTGCTCATTCCCCTCCCATTCCCTCCCTGAGGAAACAGCTGGAATGAGAGGTAGGGAGGGGAGGCTAGGATTGGCTGAGTCAGTGGCAGGGTGGGGGCCAGGCAGCACAGATGAAGCATTTACCTATCTAGGTAAGTCAGGAGGAGCTCAAAAGGAGAAGAAAACAGTAGGAGGCAGGGGAAGCAGCCTCTGTCTCCATCTCTGCCCTTTGAAACAAAAGGGTATTTCTTTTCTCTCTTCAGCCCCCAACCCAGTGGAGGTGAGTTAATCACTAACCAACTATTGCTTATCCTATAGCAATAGGAAGGGGTTTCATGGGAAATCAGAGCTACAGGGGAGGGGAGGTGTCCCTCTATACCCCAGCTAGGGAGATTTCCTCTCTGTTCCTCAATTCTCTGAGTCCATTCTGGGATCAGATCAGGTTGGTAGCAACTTGAGATTGTAGTGTTTTTGTGGAGACTGGGGCTGGGAGGCACCTTCTTTTTCATTTATCCCTTTAGGTTGGATAGGCATATTGTGCAAACAACAAGAAAAAGAAAATAGATTTGTTTTGGAAATTTCCATCTCTGAACAATTGAAATTGAGTTGTGATTTTAGAAAAGAACAGTTGAAATAGAGGGAGTCAAAATGGGGGAGAGTATCTTGGTTTTCCATAGCGACTGTAACAGGAAATTCTCCCGTGGCTTTACCAACTCGGTGTCGATCTTTATTTAAATAATGGGTGCAATGTGTGTGTGTGTTTGATCATGCTCATGTGATAATGGAGCTCTCTGTGTACAGGTGTGTTAGGCATGAGCTGTACTAGGTTGTTTGTAAAGGGATATGAGGTTGGGGCACATGGAGAAAACTTCAGCTACCAGCTCATCTTTGGAAAACCCATGGATAATCTAGCTGCAAAGTCAAGTTTATTTGGATTCTACTCAATTAACTTTCTGACTCAGCCTGTTAATAGACACAGAGACTGGCAAACAGAAAGCTACCTGGCTGTGCCGAGCCTCACCCACATGAATATTTCGTGGCTGCATGTCAAGTCTAGTTAGAGTTCCAAGTGGGGCTCAAGCCAAGGTAGTGTGGCAGAGTCCACAGACAGAGAAGCAGACCAGGGTGGTGGCTTTGTTTGTTTTCCTGCAGGTGTCCCAGTTGGCAGTTTGTGTGGCAGATTTACCTGCAGAAGGAAGGCAGATGTAGGAGTCGAGTCAGAGTAGCAAGTTGCCTCTCCATTATCCATCTTGGGGGGTTTAACCCTTTGGTCCCTAACTTTGACTCTTTTCCTCCTGCTGCAGAGAAGAGGGAAGTGGGAAGCCCTCAGTGCCAGGCTCAAGGGCCTGGCACACGCAGCCCTGAGTGAATATATGGGTTTTCCAGTCCTGGCAACTGGAGATTTAGGCTTGAGCTCACCTCACACCACAGAGCCAACACCCCACACTCACAGACTGAGGGCTGCCCTAGATGGTGAATTTAGGAATAAAGACCACTGGCAGTGTCTAACAAAGCTCTGCTATGCAGAGGGTATTTCTACCTGCTCCTTCCCTCAAACACACTGGTGAAAGGGAAGATGATAATGTTGCCTAAACACACACAGAAACTTGCCCATGTGTTCATGGAGACAGATATGCAAACTGTGCAAGTTTTAGTCATTCTGCTATTTTTCTTAGGATATTTTCCAGCCCAAGGCACATTTCTGGGTAGTCAACAAGAAGCAAAGACACCTGGATTGAAAGACAGGAAACCTCTTTGACTAGTAGGCAGAGAGGCAAAGCTCTTGGAGGACATGTGGGGGGTTCGTGGGAGGAGGATGAGAGGGACCTGGGTCTGATTAGAAGGTACAGACAAGCCAACCTGGAATGGAGCTGGAGCCCTCTCCCCACCCCACCATCTCCAGATGCCAGAACTTGAACTGTTCTTTATTTCCTCTCCTCCAAGGCTTGGCAGTATTTAGTATTTTAGTCAGTGGTGTAGTTAATATTTAATGTGTCTTTGGATGGGTGGCCCTGACTATAGGTGCTGCATATTTCTTAACCCATTCCCTCCTCCCGTTAAGTTCCCAAAGAGGTCAAGGGTTAAGATACCAAACTCTCACCTTGAGTGTTTTGTTTGTTTCTCAGTCTTCTTATCAGGGTTTCGATGGCTGCCCTGAAAGAGCCCCAAGGTTCAAGGTTGTGAAGTCGGTGAAAGGAAATGCAGCTTTCACCATTAAGATTCTTTAGGTCAGAAAACTAGGTATGGAGATGAGGTGACAGCGCCTCGCTCAGCTTTGGTTTCAGGTTCAGATTCCTCTGTGCAGGGATTATGTAATCCCTAAAGACATGATCTTCCTTGGCAGTTGGTGTCATTTCTTTACTGTAGAAATATCTGCTGTTGGGGCAATACACTGGTCTGGAAGTATAAAGCTGAAGCAGATGATTTGCAGGGTTTAAGGTATGAAGTAGAAGGAGAAGGGGGTTTTAAGGCTTTTAGTATTTTAGTCAGGGGTGGCTAGTAACCATTCTCGGGGGCATGCCCCTCTTGCATCCAGATAGTCCCTGAAATGCCCTGTGGAGGGCTGCCCTGTATATGCATGTATAGGTCATTCCCTGTTTCCCTTAGGAAGGGCTAGTGGTAAGAGCCATAACTTTCTCACCCGTAAAATGAAGAAAACGTCACATCCTGCCTATGTTTCCAGTTTATGCTGAAGATCGAATTAGCATATCTGAGAGTACTTTGCAAGCTATGGCATGCTGTGTTCTTGTGAAGCAGTGCTTTTCCTACCACTTTTATCTCTTCCAGCTACTTGAAGACATCCTAGGTTCTGAAACAAAAGTGTGATAAGCTTCCCTGGTAGGAAAGAGAGACTAGAAAACCTCTGTAAAGTCTAAAGCATACTTAGAAGCACAAGGGTAGTAATTTTCTCTGAAAGTAAGAGGCAGCATCTGCTCACCCATTCATAGAGAATATGATGTTAATTACAGTGAGTCACTTTAAATATTTACTGCCCTGATTTTACAGAGAAGAAAATTGGAGCCCAAAACTAGACCCTTAGATCTACATTGACTTTTTGACAACAATGCCTTTGTCTTATACAGTTTTGTAACACCAGCGCCTATTATTAGGTGCTCATAAATGTTAGTTTAACTGAAAACATTGCCCAAATTTCACTGAGCCATATATTATCCAGGAAATTAAGTATTTAAGTAAAAGCTGACAGTTATAGGTTAGAAACCAAGAAGAAGCCTTCCAAAAGCTCAACCTAATAGACCCTAGAACAGATGGCAAGTTCATTCATTCGGCATTTTTTGAGTGTTTTCTGTGTGCCTAGACTCACAGAGATGGAGCTCCTTTGCTATAGTGGCCTCAACCCTACACAATGTTAGGAATGGGTTAGTCCTCCCTGAACTTGGGCATCATTCATGGAGTGGGTAGCTGAGATGACTGAACTTCATCCACATGATTTCTCATGTTCCTGTTTCTTTGAGCTTCTGGGTATTGGGGAGCTAACCTCATGAAGAAACCCTAAGAGCTTCCTCACCCCACATTTATTTATCATTGGGCTTCTTTGGTGTCTCTGCCCCTCCAGTCCCCTCCTTATCTCCTAGGAGGATCTGGACCCCTATGAACCAGATGTCTGGCTCACTAGGGATCTCTCCTGTTTTCCCCCCAGTGTTCTGCCCCTCCATACCTGCCCCTTTTAAGAGACTCCTCCCAAGCAGAAGAGGAGCTCCTTGGGGCTCCATACTTGCCAGCTCTATAGGGATGGAAAGCTGACTCACCCAACCCAGCCCAAACTTGACTTTGGCACTGGAAGCAATTATTACCAGAGGCCAAGAGGACATCTGCCCTGGCATCCAAAGCCCAAGCCTCCAGATCTCAAATAGATCACGTTTTCTTCTAGGACATTTTACCTAGTGTTGGGAGGGTTGGAAAGATGAAAGAAAATATAGGATGGCATTATAAGGAAAATATGGATTTAGAATCAGACAAACTTTATTCTAATTCTGGCTCTCCTCCAACTCTCTGTTTGATCTTGGAACTGTCTTTTCATCTTAATTCTTTTAGAATTTCATTTTAACATAGCAGACTCACTTCTGGCCTGCCATCTCCAGTGGAGTATTTCCCACAAACAGCCACATCAAAATCCTTGGGACTTTCAGAGGGAAGATGGCACTGCCTTCCTTTGCTACTACTATTGTTACAATGACATTGAAACTTTTTTTCCCTAAGGAATTAGAGTTGGGAGGAAGCTACATGGGACATTTCTCTTGTTCATTTGACATAGGCTAGGGAATCTCATTGGGAATGTGTGCAACAACAGAGGCACTAGAAAGAAAGAGATTCACTAGAAAGAAAATAGGTTTGTGTCAACCACTGCAGGTGCCCTGTTCATGCCTCCAGGCTAGGGAGTTAAAGATGGGTATCGTAGCGGTGGTTGTGATGATGTTGATGATATTGACTGTGATAGCAGGTGACAATTTGCTCTGTGCAAAGTGTTTTAAACGTTCTCACAATAACCCCATGAGGTAGGTATTATTAAGGGACCTGTTTCTTCTCTCAAGTCTACAGTCTCCCATCAAACCAGAACCCTTCTTTTCTGAGATCCTGTTTCTCTTGTTTCAATTTAGTTTGATCCTAGATAGATCTTGTCTTTTTCTTGTTACAAGAACAATAATAGTTAATTATTGACTCATGAGGTCTTAGGGTATTTACTACCAACTAAACTGTGCTAACTGTTCTCTCATTTAATCCTTATACTAACATTATTTAATGAGGAAAAACAGACTCAGAGTAATTTGCCCCAAGTCACATAACTGTAAATGGCTAAACTGGGATTTGAGCCCAGACCCAACTAACTCCAGAACCCAAGGTATTGACGCCTGTAATATTTATTGCTTATAGTAATGAAAATGTAGATTAAGCTCCTTGGTTCAGAGAAAAATGTAAGAGAAGTAGTAGAAGCTTCTTTCTGACTAGACTGCCTCTCCACCAACTAAGTCTGTCCTTCTGCATGTATTTAAGCCAGCTTCAGGGTCCTTCCATGCAGGCCGGGGGTGTCGGGCAGTGGCTGTTCATGCCCCCCTTCCAGCTCTCTGCTTGCTTGGTGTCCTTCCCGCCATGCCGCCCAGGGCCTGGGCAGAGCCTTGCCGAAGCCTCGGCTCATGTGTGGCTTTGATTCTTCTCTTTTCAGGCCCGGCTTGGGACATTGTTCACTTCCCCTCGCTTCCCCTCTAGAAGCCCCCTTTGCCATCCCTGCACCTTGTTTCGGGTGATGCCCGAGAGGGAGCTGTGGCCAGCGGGGACTGGCTCAGAACCCGTGACCCGTGTCGGCAGCTGTGACAGCATGATGAGCAGCACCTCCACCCGCTCTGGATCTGTACGTAATACTCTCCCTCCCGCAACCTGGTCTGCTCTCTGCACACCTGCCCTGCCCTGCCCTGCCCTATCCTTTCCTGCCACCCATCCTGGCTCACTGCACCTTCTCTTTCATTGTTGGGGAGTGATTCACAACACCAGTGGGTGCTTTCTGCCTGAGTCAGCCCTGGCTCTATAGAGAATAGGATGGGACGACCTTAGAGAGCAACTGGGCAAATGAGACTTTTTCCGCCGATTTTCATTAGGTTGGGGGTTGGGTTGAGCAGAGAGAGTAGGCCTGTAATCTGAGGTCATGGTGGAAACCAGAACATAGATTCTTGTAGCACATGGATTATTGAAGTTCTCTGCAATGAGCAGCATTACTTTAGTCTCTTACAAAGATCAAAGAAAATAGGTAATTAGGAGCCTAGGTTCTGGAACCAAACAGATTTAAGTTCTCTACTTATAAGCTGTATGACCTTGGGCAAATTACTTAATTTCTCTAAGCTTTAGCCTCCTCAGTTTTCAAATGGGATACTTAGTGTTCATACCCAATTCAATTTGTGGGGAGTAAATGTGATACAGGTAAAGCACCTAGCATATGCCTCTATATAGAAAAGAATCAGCCTTTCTAGGAGCAGAGACTGAGAATCTTCCAAAGTCACTGTGTTTAGCTACTTGTGAGTGGCATTTAATAAACTGTAATTTTTCTGGGCATGAATTTAAATCTCAGTTGTTGTGAGGCTGGTGTGAAAGAGTAAATCTGTGCTGCATCCAGACGCAAACATTTGTTGTTCATGCTTGTCACATACATAAGAATCATAGAGAATTTATGCTTTTTTGCATTGTATCCTATAGAGGTATTTGAAAATTTAAGGGTGTCTACTGAATGTCAAGATGTTTAAGACAACCAGTGGATTTTGATATGTAAAAATAGAGTAGAGAAAGAAACACACATGCACAAATCCAAAGTGCAGACAATCATACAAATTTCATTTTGACCCTAGATAATGGGGCTGTGGAGACGTCTTTCTATGTCTTTTAGGCTGAGGCCAACGTGAATAGTCACATAGCATTGGACACAGAATGTGACAGGGATTAAAGGTTTTCAAAGTGAATCATTCATGAAGGAGAAACTCAGAGTCAGCTTATCCTTGGCAAGGCTATTTTAGGAGGAAGAGGACAATAAAGATATTTTTCTTCAAGAAACTCTTGGCGTCAGCTTCAGAGCTTCCAGGGGCTATATTTGGGGCTTGCTTTAACATGTAGGCCCACATGCGAAAGGAAGTTCCAGAGGCAAATGGAAGGGTTATTCTGCAACCCTCTCCCCTCCCTCCAGGATATTTTTAGAGCTGTCTCAAAATCTTTCCTGGCCATCTGAGTGGGCCTGAAGAATATACAACTCTGAAGTGTCCCAAATATTAGGAAAAGGGCTGGAGATGCCAAGAAGAGACTTGGCCCAAATTTCTTATATTCCAATTTGCCCTTTTGTTTTCCCTTCAACCTCCTCTGTGGAAGAGCAACTATTCCAGCAAACTTCTAGCCCCATACAACATAGACAGTAACTGTCTGAGATGACCATTATTATTTTCTTCCAAAAACCTCTATGTACTCTCTCATAATGAATATGATCTACTTTAAGATCTACTTAATATTTAATACTAAGCTGCTTTTCCCTCCTCCCATACCATCCAGTTTCTCCACCAACCTCCCCCTTTAAGTTAATATTTGCTTTAGAAATGCACACTTACTTGAACATTAGCCAGAGCCAAATGTCATCAAGAAAGTAAATGTACAAGGGGAAAAATTCCCGTATGGAATGCATTTCAAAGTCAAGTACAAATCATTTAGTACATTTATCTGTGGCCAGTCATGCCACAGTTCCTACTGGCCTGGCAGCTCATAGCTGGCTTCATTTCCTGCTTTTCCTCATACTGCCCTTGACATACCAGATCAAGTATGCAGAAGTACTTTTAAAAGTTAAAAGCAATACCACTGAAGTTTCAGGTCAAATTGTTATGTTGCACTTCTTATTTGGAGCTAAATCAGAGGTGCTCAAAGTGAGATGTTTGACAAAGGCTGTCAAACATTGAAACTTGGGACTGCTTCTAATCTGTGCCCCTAAGCATTCAAGCCAGGACTGAGCAAAAGAAAGGCCCCTGCCATGTGCCTGCCCAGCTCCAGAGCTGGGCGCTAGTGGGCCAGCCTCCTGACAGACTCTGCCCTCCCTGGTGCCTACAGTTTCAGGAGGCAACTCCAGCAGCTTTGCAGAGTAGCAGGAGGGAAAGGTTTCCAGCTCTTCAGCATTCCTTCCTCTCTGCAGGGTGGTTCTCAGGCCCCGCCAGTTTCTGCGGAGGGAGCGCTTTCTCACAGCTCTCTCTCCCTCTCCTGTTCTTCTTCTCGCCCTCCCCCCCGCCTCCCCGCCCCCGCCCCCAACCCCAAACCCAACAGAGTGATAGCAGCTACGACTTCCTGTCCACTGAAGAGAAGGAGTGTCTGCTCTTCCTGGAGGAGACCATTGGCTCACTGGACACGGAGGCTGACAGCGGACTGTCCACTGACGAGTCTGAGCCAGCCACAACTCCCAGAGGTTTCCGAGCACTGCCCATAACCCAACCCACTCCCCGGGGTAAGGCAGACCCTCTGGGGTGGAACCCCAGCAAAACCCAGAAAATCAATATGTCCCCTCCGGCCACTTTCTACCTCGCCTGCCCTCTACCCCAAGGGTCACAGGCAGAAGAAGGTGTAGCCACACTCCTCACCACTCTCCTGGCTAGAACAGAGCCTTGTCCCTGGAGGGAAGGAGGGACCCCTGGCAAGCCAGCTTCCTATGTCTGTCTATGAAGTATCAGAGCTCTAGAAGGGAAAGGGGTTTGACCAGCTCCCATTCTCCTGTGGAAAAATTCTAAAGAGATATGACCGCAGAGGCGGGGGAGGGAGTCAGGGAGGGCTGGGTGGTTGGCTCTGGAGAGACTGAGTCAGTCTAGAGAGCTAATCTGGGTGACACAGAGGACAAGGGTAGGAGAGATAAGGAGAAGGAAGGGCTCCCCAGCTGCAGTGGGAAGTACCTCAAGGCCCTCGTTAGAGAGCGTGGAAAGCCAGTGGTATTCAGGCTCAGCAGAAGGGGAACAAAACAACACACAAGTGTGGCCATGACTGTGGGGCCACATGTCCCAGGGTGTGAGAAACCTTTTACTCCTGAGGACAGTCCCGCTGGTATTGGGGCTGCAGTTTTGTGTTGTTTCATTTAGCAAATATTTATTAACAAGTAGTTAGACCTTCCCTGGAGCTAGAGCTATAAATGGGGACGTAGGGCTTTCCTGCTCCATGAGGCTGATTCACTGGCCCAGGGGGCCTGATGTACCTGCCTAGCTCACTGGAAGGAAAGGAGTCACTTTCTGGTGTGGGGACACTATGGCTATTACAGAATTATCCACATGCTCATAGAAAGTGCAAGTAGAAGGCAGAAGCCTGGTTGAATCAAGAGCAAATCACTTATTCAGAGGCTTGCATTGGGCTCAGTTATCTGGGAGGCCCAAAATAGCTAGAAGGAACTGTCCCAAATTTATCTCCAACCCTGGTGCCTCTGTAGAAAACTGGGGAGAGGTCAAGTCAATAACTTAGAGCAATCAGGGGTCACTCTCTTGCCGCCCATCATGAAAAATTAATTCTCAGTCAAAAAAAGATATGCTATTATTATTTGTAGAAATGGGGGTCTCTTATGTTGCCCTGGTTGGTCTCGAACTCTTGGGCTCAAATGATCCACTTGCTTTGGCCTCCCAAAGTGCTGGGATTACAGGCATGAGACACTGCGCCTGGCCCTGGATCTGCTATTACTGATCTATTAGTCTAAATGATATCCAGACAAAAGTGCTGCTCTTGTAAAAGCAAAGAAAACAAGGCAAAATAAAACCCATTCATTGCTAGTTTGGGATCAGAGTTCAGGAAGTCATTGCTTTCCCCTCTGCAGCAGGGCCCTCACCTCTGTCCACTCTTTTTCTGTCCACTCTTTTATGTTCTTTCTGACCCTCACAGGAGGTCCAGAGGAGACCATCACTCAGCAAGGACGAACGCCAAGGACAGTAACTGAGTCCAGCTCATCCCACCCTCCTGAGCCCCAGGGCCTAGGCCTCAGGTCTGGCTCCTACAGCCTCCCTAGGAATATCCACATTGCCAGAAGCCAGAACTTCAGGAAAAGCACCACCCAGGCTAGCAGTCACAACCCTGGAGAACCGGGGAGGCTTGCGCCAGAGCCTGAGAAAGAACAGGTCAGCCAGAGCAGCCAACCCAGGCAGGCACCTGCCAGCCCCCAGGAGGCTGCCCTTGACTTGGACGTGGTGCTCATCCCTCCGCCAGAAGCTTTCCGGGACACCCAGCCAGAGCAGTGTAGGGAAGCCAGCCTGCCCGAGGGGCCAGGACAGCAGGGCCACACACCCCAGCTCCACACACCATCCAGCTCCCAGGAAAGAGAGCAGACTCCTTCAGAAGCCATGTCCCAAAAAGCCAAGGAAACAGTCTCAACCAGGTACACACAACCCCAGCCTCCTCCTGCAGGGTTGCCTCAGAATGCAAGAGCTGAAGATGCTCCCCTCTCATCAGGGGAGGACCCAAACAGCCGACTAGCTCCCCTCACAACCCCTAAGCCCCGGAAGCTGCCACCTAATATTGTTCTGAAGAGCAGCCGAAGCAGTTTCCACAGTGACCCCCAGCACTGGCTGTCCCGCCACACTGAGGCTGCCCCTGGAGATTCTGGCCTGATCTCCTGTTCACTGCAAGAGCAGAGAAAAGCACGTAAAGAAGCTCTAGAGAAGCTGGGGCTACCCCAGGATCAAGATGAGCCTGGACTCCACTTAAGTAAGCCCACCAGCTCCATCAGACCCAAGGAGACACGGGCCCAGCATCTGTCCCCAGCTCCAGGTCTGGCTCAGCCTGCAGCTCCAGCCCAGGCCTCAGCAGCTATTCCTGCTGCTGGGAAGGCTCTGGCTCAAGCTCCGGCTCCAGCTCCAGGTCCAGCTCAGGGACCTTTGCCAATGAAGTCTCCAGCTCCAGGCAATGTTGCAGCTAGCAAATCTATGCCAATTTCTATCCCTAAGGCCCCAAGGGCAAACAGTGCCCTGACTCCACCGAAGCCAGAGTCAGGGCTGACTCTCCAGGAGAGCAACACCCCTGGCCTGAGACAGATGAACTTCAAGTCCAACACTCTGGAGCGCTCAGGCGTGGGACTGAGCAGCTACCTTTCAACTGAGAAAGATGCCAGCCCCAAAACCAGCACTTCTCTGGGAAAGGGCTCCTTCTTGGACAAGATCTCGCCCAGTGTCTTACGTAATTCTCGGCCCCGCCCGGCCTCCCTGGGCACGGGGAAAGATTTTGCAGGTATCCAGGTAGGCAAGCTGGCTGACCTGGAGCAGGAGCAGAGCTCCAAGCGCCTGTCCTACCAAGGACAGAGCCGTGACAAGCTTCCTCGCCCCCCCTGTGTCAGTGTCAAGATCTCCCCAAAGGGTGTCCCCAATGAACACAGAAGGGAGGCCCTGAAGAAGCTGGGACTGTTGAAGGAGTAGACTCTGCGACCAGTACAGACCCTGTCCTGGCTGAACAAGAAGAGACACATGCTCCACTTGGGAGCCTTTGCCACCACGCAACTCAGGGCTCAAGATGAATGGGAGGGAGAGATTTGAGTCCAAGCATACATTTATATTCAGTGTTGTGCCATTGAGTTCCCATGTGGATCATTCTGAAGGTGATCTCCACAAGAGGGTGTGTGTGTGTGTGTTTGGTGTGTGTGTGGAGGGGGGGCCGCTGGATACATCACTGAAGCTATTGATATAACACAATGAGTCACTGTTCAGAATTTTGCTCTTGTTAGATGTTTTCTTACATTGGGTAGAGTCCAGCCTAGTGAGAGCTGAGTGAAGGGGCTGGCCATGCCTGAGACAAAAAGTCAAATGAGACAATGGACGTGTCAATGACTTGAAAAAAAGTCACATCCAGCAAATGCAGGGTCACATGAAATATGGGCCTCCTGGAATCCCTACAGTGGATGGAGACTGGCTCATACCTTGCCAGATCCCTCTCTCAGTTCCAGCCTTCTGGACAAGGCCTGGGCTAAGAGGAGCTGATTCGTTATCTCTTCACCCACTGCCCTCTCAGTATCACCAGTCCCAAAGACAGGATACGTCCCTGTAACCCAATCTCTCGGTTGATTGATAGCAGAACAGCTCTTGTTGGTCTGAGAAGGCAGGATAAGTGACCACATATTTATGCCACTACCTCCACCAGGGAGAGTCCTTCTCCACAGGCTTGATAAATTCAATCACCAACTGTGCTGTCGTCCCTGACTCTGCTACTCCCGTTCTTCCTGCTTTCCTGCTCCGTATCTCAGTCTGCACTGACCCCAGGGCTGGGCTGACATCAAGATGGGAGCCCAGCCCACGGGCTTTATAAACACCCAAGAACCGTTTCAGATCTTCTCTGTGCTGATGCAGGTAGTTTTAAATTTTTCTCAGTTCCAGTGATAGAAAACCCACACAATACATCCTCTGCCAGTCTTAATAGAATATCAGAGGTAAGAGGGGCCTCAGAGAAGCTCTGACGCAGTGCTGCTGGGGAAGGGAAGTGACTAACCCCGGGTCAGCCTGCCATTTAGGGAAAGAGCTGAGGTTCTTACCCTTGTTGCATGCTGCCACCTCTCCTTAGCCAGTGCTCTTGTACATCCACACAGCACCCTAAGGAGCCATAGTCACCATCAAAGACTCAACCCTAAGGCCCTTCAAGATCTCAAAGTGCCTTCTGAAGCATCAGAGATTAAATATTGTTCAAACTAATAGTTATTGCTGTGGCTTTTAATTTTATCTTTGGAAGATAGCTATATGGTAACTCATCATTAACCAGAACACCTCTCCCCTCAAATTCCGTGACCAAGTTGTGCAGCTTGAGCAAATGCCGAAAGAGGGTATTATGGGTGGGTGGTGTGGGCTTGCAAATACAAGCTTGGAGGTGAGACATGGCCAGACATGACTCCTGCTTCCCCTTAGGAAGTAAATCTTACTTATGGTTGTGAACTGCTTGGAGTCCAGGATGCCCAGATGTGAGGGGCAGATGAAGGGAATGTTGCTGGAAAGGTGCCTTTTAAGGCTGCTGAGAATTTCTGGACTGTGTCCTGATGGACGCAGCACCATCAAAGCCCAGAATTTCTGAAAACGGTGACAAGGTTAACATAAGGACAACAAATACTCCACCCTGTCATGGTATGTGAGGTGTGGGTGTGGCGGTTTCTGTGTACGTTTGCTCATACACGCACATCCAAAAGCCTGTGCCTCATTCCTGGCCATGGGTGAGGACTTGGTCTGTCACGGCTGATGAGGACTCCCACAACCGGCCAAGTTATGTCTTATTATACACCCCCAGAAAGAGAGAAAGCTGCCTTCTGGAGGACTGATTCCACATGCTATATTCAGCTGAGTTGATTTCTGTGTCTATTTCAACCCATAACCTGAAGAATGATCACCTTATTCCTTATTCATTAATTTTCTTGATTAATAGGGAAACTTGGGAATAGCTATAAAGTAAAACTTGGGTGGAACCTGGGGCCCTGGCATCACACAAGTGTGATTAGGATGGTCAAGGTCATCAGGAGTACAGCCTATTATATTCCCACATCCTGAGAAAGGTCATTTCTCCCACACACGACAAAGTCACAGACATCCTGCACCTGCCACTAGGCATCCTCATCCTACTGACATGCCCATTTCTCCAGTTTTCTTAATCTGAGACTCCCTTCCCTTGTTTTTTAAAGATACCGTGCTTCTCCACATCCTCATCCTTCAAGGAGCATATTTTGCTCTTAGGATGGTCTTTGGGATTCAAGAATAGAATAATAAATCCAAACTTGGTCATTCCCATTTTGAAGAGATGCAAGAGGGCCCAGTGAGGACATCCGCCTCCCTGAAAGTGGTGCTAGACAGAGCTGAGGTCATTGTATCTGTGTATCCACATAGGATTTCTCTTAATTCAGCTTGAATTGATGGGGAGGGAGGTAAGAGTAGGGTCAGAGTTACTCATCCCTTTTCAAAGAATTGTGGGTGGAAGTTTGTAAAGGCCATTCATTTGATTTTCAAAATCAAAGCGACAGCTCTACTTCCACTTGGCCTTAGATCTCTGCTATACCCTGCCATAGCCTTGATGCCACTGGGCACAAGCCACCTGCCAAATACAGGAGTGGCCTCTCCCAGCCTGGCATGATAGGGGGGTCTGTGCCCTCAGATGTGTTGACAGCTGCTCTTCTGAATTGCCACACCTGTGCTACACTTGGAATTCTGTGCTCTGACTCTGCAGGGTAGGACCACGTGCCATCTCACACAGAGGTCAACCGATGAGCCCACTCACTCGTACATGCCTTCTTCCACAGTGGGAAGCATGATCTGGCAGGGGCCGCCCTGTAGGCTGGGGATGGGCTGCTGTGTGAATGTTGACGTTCGTTTCATGGAGAAAGGGGAGGTGAAAGATTGAAGAGCAGGTTCCTGTCAATGTTCTGAGTTCGAGCTGGAGGTGTAGATTGAATAGTCTACATGGTCTGTGAGTGTGTGAGATGAACCCTTCCATCCTTTGACACCTGGTTGTATGTGTAGGCTAAGAAGGAAGGACCCTCCTGTCAGTGTGCAAAGCTGTAATCTCATGGACTAGAGGAGAGGGGGCCAAGGGGATGGACAGGAGAAGTCATGCAGAATCTAAGCAGGAATGCAGATAGAACACATCTAGGCTCTTTTCCCCAGGAGAGTGATGATGGAGCATATAGATCTGGCTCAAATTCAGCCTCCATCACTTACCAGTCAGGAACCCTGGCGATATCACTTTAACTTTCTGAACCTCAGAGTCTTCACCTATAAGACGGGGAAAATAATACCACCCTTTCAAGATTGTTGAGATAAATAAGTGATATAAAACATGTAAAGCTTAGTTCTGGCCACAGTGTAGCTACTCAATAAATGATAATACTACCTTCTGGGTCTTATTTTTTTCTTCTCAAAGGAGGTGACTGTAGGGAGGGTTGGATACCAAGGGCTCACCCAACTCACTTCTGAGAGAAAGATAGAGCCTGCTGCACACAAAACTTACGGCACAACCAGGCTTCGGCACAGCCTCCACGTGACTCAGCTTCACCCATGCCAGGCTTCCTGGAGTTTGAAAAGACAGCAATTGGCATGGGTGTAATGTGTGTGTTCCGGTGCAGCCTGAACCAGCTGTTTCCAGCTTTCATATCCTCAAATCCAACTTCTCCTGTATCATCAGTCTCTTACTGCCCATGACCATAGAGCAAGCTTCTTTTTGCTTCCTTTTACTTTCTTTTGCTGTGTGGTTCAGAGAACTATATGCTGTTCTACAGTTATTTATTTTTAAAATGAAGGTAAAAAAAATAAGCATATAACAGGAGGGAACTCCTCAGAAAGAAATAAAAGCTAGAAAAGGTTTTAAAATTCCTTTTTTTTATTTTAAATAGCACGTTCTTTTAAATTTGTTCATCTCTGGAATGAATCAGGCATTAGTTATCAGGAGGCAAGAAGTACATTGGATGAGGTCTCTAAATCTCTTCAGGTGTAGGGACCTGTGAATTGCTGGAGTCATGACCACTGTCACAATCATCACTGACTGTTAGCATACACATGTGGTAAAAACAGATTACACTCTAATTCCAGGCTGTCACTCTCTCTTACTCATTACCTAGTTGGATTGTTGTCCTTATCACCACTTGCCACGTATCCAGAATTCAAAATAATGTGAAACAGGCAGAGGCCTGGACCAGGTGAGATTTAGTGGGTCACTTCTTCTCACTCTCAACATGAGGGACTTGGTCTTTCTCCTAGATCCATGCTAGCCCTGAAATGTATGTTTCGGTAAATCCAAACAAGTTAGGAAGATAAACACCTGCCAAAAATAATCAAAATATAGTCTAAAATAAACTAAACCTCAGAGAACTTGAGAACGGAAAGGAAACTTTTAGGTTCTGTAATTCAACCTCCCACCTAAAGAGGAATTATCTCTATAGTTGGAGATACATATGTTTCTTCCTTTCTTTCTATCTACCTATCTATATCTATGGTCAGAAATAAACACACACACATATATATATATGTATATATATATACATGTAGGACCAGGAAGACGGGAGGTTCGGTTTGGGGCATACTGAGTTTGAGGTTGCTGTGGGACTTCTAAGCTGACATGGCCTCTGGCATGTCAACTTAGATAGCTATATCTATATCTATATCTATATCTATATCTATATCTATATCTACCTCCAACTATGTATATATAGAGAGAGATATGGTCAGAAATATAGTTGGATAGATGGATGGAGGCTTGATGGATGGATGGATGGATGAGTGGATAGATGGAAGAAGATAAGAAAGGAGGGAAGAGGAGGGGAGGGAAGAGAGATTGAGAACATACAGTGGCCAAGAGCATAGGCTCAGGAGCCAGGCTGCCAGGGTCTCTGCACTTCAGTTTCCTTTTCGGTGATTACCTTTTGCATCTTTTAACTTTCTTTGTTGTGTGGTTCAGGGAACTTTATGCCGCCCTACAGTTATTGTTTATCTTAAAAATGGAGAGAAAACGAACTTAGATTATAACAGGATGGAACCTCGTAAAGTAAGGCAATAATAATACTTACCCCTTGCAGTTTTTATGAAAATAGAATCAAATGAGATACTACATATAAAAAAAACCATAGCACACTGCTGAATAAATGGTGTCTATTCATATTATTATCATATAGACGTGTAATTCAGATGCCAACTGGGACCCCCATCAGGACTGGTTAATCTTGGCCTGCACCTAGATTCCTCAGAACTGAAACAGTCAAAGCCCTCCTCCAGTTTTAAGAGCCTCCTACAGTTCTGTCCTATCTGCATCTGTGTGTGCTGCTTCGGAGCCTCCCCACACCTGCCTCCTTCCCAATCCACACTCTGCCATCCCTAAGCCACTGTCTCTGTCTCCGCTCACTATTGGTCTAGACCCAAAGCCCAGGCCTTTCACTGATTCCCATGGGAAATCAGGTTTCGTTAAGCATTTTGTTATTTTCTGAGTTTTTTACTGAAGGTCAGTGTGGGGGATGCTGGGGGACCTATCACAACCACATGGCCTCACATCACCTCCCCTTCCACCCTTTCTTTTTCTTTTCCAACTTATAGCACAACCAGCAAATCCTTCTCACCTCCACCCGACACTTGAGGGCTCTTAGGATCTAAGCGTCAACCCCCAGAGACTTTTCAAAAAATTCCTCTTACGTGAAGAGAGTTGCTGCGCCAAACTCTGTACATCTCTACAGATGGAAAGATCATTCTGGTGGCTGGGTTGGGAGGGGACTGAGACAGGCTGGGATGGGTGTGAAGGGAACAGTTAGAAAGCTACTGCTGTAGTCTGGGAGGGAGGCAGTGTGGCACTGTGCAGCTGTGGTGGTGGCAGAAAGAAGAAAAGAAAGAAGGTTTGAAGATGTTCATCACTGACATGATTTGGTGGACCTATTACTGAGGGTGAGGAAGAGGGTGAGGTCATGAGTCATGTTTTGGTTTCATTCCTTCGTGATTGGATGGATACTAATACCACTCACTGAGACATAGACCATGGCGAGAGGCTCAGATCTGGGGGTCCCCTGCATGGGTCTGTGTTTGGACATGTTGAGAGTACAGCGCTCTCTACCTCCTGGGCCTTCATGCCTGAAAGTAGGACTGAGGCTACAGCACAAGTTGACTTGCAACATCAACACCTCCTCCAGCTCACACCAACCCTGCCACACTCTGCTTTAGTGGGTAGGCAGGACTCTGTGAAGGCCTCCTTTGGATTAGTTCCTGGCTCTGTTCAGTTGCTTGGATCTGAGGAAATATTTGTCATCTCCTCTTTGAGTGACTCTCCTGCCCCCGTCCTTTAGGCAGGGGCTCCTGAAGGATCTGTCTTCATGTTCTCTTATTAAAAGCATCAAGCTGGTCCCAGCTCTGAGACTCTACCTTGGCTGTTCCTTCTGCTGGAGTTCTCCGCTCCTCATCTTTACATAGCTAGTTCCTTCTCATCCTTTAAGTCTCAGATTAAATTTCAGATTTTCTGAGAAGCCTTTGCTGAATGCTCAAGACGTACATGAGATATATATTTATGGACGCATCAGGAAATCTTTTCAGTGCTGTGCAGATGGTCGTGACTCTTCTTATTCCTCCAACCTAGGGACGGAGACCCAGTGCAGCTCTGCATGGAGCTGCTGGCATGGTGCCTACTGTCTGCACAGTGAAAGGAGGCAGGCACAGGTTTGGGCTTTGGCTGCCCAGCAGCATGGGGACCACAGCTCTTGTCCAGGAACTGGGCATCCCAAGTAGGATCTTATCAAGACTGAAGATCCCCTCTTTTCATGTCCACTTCAACTAAACATTTATTGAGTCCCTCTTAGAACCAAGAATTCTCATGTTCAGTATCTCAAGTAAGCTTCATAACAGCCCCACACATTTCTATCTAACTCTCTGTCAATTAGGGAACCAAGACACAGACAGTTTACTCAACTTGCCCAAGTTCATAAGTTAGTAATTATTGGAGTCATGGATTTGAACTTGGGTTGACCTCTCAGCAAGGCCAGTGCTGTTTTGCTATTACAAATCTGCCATATAAAAACAATTTCACTGACACCGCAAACAACAAAGATAGAATTACCCATGTTTTACACATGAGGAACATGAGTTTCAGAGAGCTCATGGGGTTACAATAAGTAAAACTAGAGACAGAATCACGGCCCCTGGTTCAGCACACTCATTCGTTTCTCAGTTTCCTGAGTTCAAACCCTCTATCCAATATTAGGAAAACAAAGATAAATAAGACATACCCAGAAAATGAAGGAGCTCATAGTCTAGCAAGAGAGACAATAAGGTATGATTATATTCAAGATATAAAGATATAGAACCATAGAGGGTAGGGATCTAAGAGAGGAGGGGAAAGACCTGGAAAGAAGAGGTGTTCCAGACAGAGGAAACAGCATGTGCCAAGAAAGCACAAAGAAGTGTGGTGTATCTGGAGAACTGTCTGTGATGTACAGTGCCCAGGGATGAGGCCAGAGGAGCAGGCAACAGGAGACTGTGGAGGGCCTATGTGCCATGCAAAACAGTCTGATCTCTATCCTGTGAGCAGTGGAGAGTCAATGGGAGATTTAAAGCAGGGAAGTAGCAAGGTCAAAATTGCATTTTGTAAAGGCTCTGGCCAAGGCTGTGGATAATGGAACATACTGCAATGATACTACAACAAAGAAACGAGCTAGAAGCCTTTATCAGTCAAAGATGCTTTTGGCTGCAAGTAACAGAACCCTCTGTGGCTTAA
Organism: Homo sapiens; assembly: GCF_000001405.40. NCBI lineage: Eukaryota > Metazoa > Chordata > Mammalia > Primates > Hominidae > Homo > Homo sapiens. The sequence goes on along the minus strand of NC_000001.11, from coordinate 207,014,174 downwards.
ATAAAAGGGGATTTATCTTTTTCTCCCATACTGGGAAATATGAGGGTAGGTGGCTATGGGCATTGTTCAGGGCAGAGGCACAGGAATTCTCTTTGCCTTCCTTCTGCAATTGCGAGATGGTGGCTCCAGTCATATTGCTGGCATTCAAAGGATTAAGAAGGGAAAAAATACTGGGAGCATCCATATCTGTCTTTTTAAATAAGAAAGCAAAGTCTTTCCCAGAAACTTCTGAACAGACTTTCTTTTCTGTCTCATTGACCAGAATTACGTCACAAGCCATCTCTGGCTGTAAGAAAGCCTGTCTTGTCCTCTCTAATAGAGGCCAGCCTGGGAGAAGGGGGTGGATGTGAGTCTTCTGCTAGCTAATCCACAATGCTCCCAACAGTCCAAGTGAGAATTTAAATAAATCAGTGAAGATGGAGGTGGTGCACAATTCTAAATGTGCCCACAAACCAACCAGCAGCTTAGTGACTGACTGGATGTAAAGACTAAAGGAGAAAGAGGAGCTCAAAATGATGCCCACATTGCTGGTCTGAACAAGTAGACAGAATTCATGAATGTGCTATAGGGGTAGGACCAGGAAGAAGGGAGGTTTGGTTTGGGGCATACGGAGTTTGAGGTTGCTGTGGGACTTCTAAGTTGACATGGCCCCTGGCAGGTAGACTGCGGGTCTGCAGTTCATGGGGGAGAAGCGATAACAGAGCCACTAAATGTAGGTGACAGTCGATCATGAGCATGGATAAGGCTGTCTAGGGAGGATGGGTAGAATAAGAAGAACAGAGCTCATGGATGGATCTCTGGGGCACACTGACATCTAAAGGGAGGTAAATAAAGAGAAGTCCAATGAGAAAACTGCACCCCCAATTTCTACTTGATCACTGTTCTGTCTAGTATCTCTCAAATTAAAAAATTAACAACAACAACAACAAAATTAAAACCTTCCTTAACCCCACATCTTCTAGAGCAGAGTTGTCCATCAGAAATTTCAGCAATGATAAAACTATGCTCTATCTGCTCTGCCCAATTGAGTAGCTGCTCCTCACATGTGGCCCTCAAGCACTTGATATTTGGCTAGTGTGACAAAGAACTAAATGTCTAATTTTATTTAATTTTAATTAACATAAACTTACATTTTTTAATTAGGCAAGTGGCTCTGGTGTTGGACAGCACTGCTCTAGCACCCTAGCCATCTCTCTGCTCCCCTCTGGAAATGTCCCTTGAAATAAACACAACCTCTCCTTTCTCACCTGAACCTCACTCCTCCTCCCGCTTCAACCAAGCATCTTTCCCCTCCATGCCCCCAAGACCATGTTGTCAGAGTTACCAATGACATCCATGTTGGCAGATCCAGTAGTCTGCTTTACTCGCATTTACTTTATTTCTCTGCACATTTGACACAATTGACGACTCCCTTCATTTTGAAACACTGACTCCTGGGTACTGTGTACTCCTCCTCAGGATCTTTTGCCTTCTCATCCTCTTGGGCCTCAGGGCTCTCTCCTGTGCCCCCTTCTCAGATCTGTCTTCATGTTCTCCTTTAAATGCATCAAGCTTGTCCCAGCTCTGGGACTCTACCTTGGCTGTTCCTTCTCCTGGAGTTCTTTTCTCCTCGTCTTTACGTAGCTAGTTCCTTCTCATCCTTTACGTTTTAGATTAAATTTCAGATTTTCTGAGAGGCCTTTGCTGAATGATCAAGCTAAAGATGACACTTGATCTTTCCTATGTGGTACTATGAAGTACCACTCTTGAATTCTCTGCATAGTACTCACCACTATTCAGAGAGAGATTTTGAAAGCTAAGGGGAAAAAAGAGTTTCTAGAAAAGAACCTGGTCAACAATACCAAGTACTCCAGACACATCAAATATGATGGCACTAAAACATTTCTATTGGATTTTGAAATTAAGAGGTCGCTAATAATTTCAGCAAAAACAATTTCAGAGAAGAACCGAGTGTGAAAACCAACTTTAGCCAGTTGTAGAGTCAACGGAAGTGAAGACAGTGAGTGTAGTTAAATCTACTTCCCTCCCTTTATAGCTTAGCTAGGGAAGAAAGCTAGGGAAATTGAATAAAAAAATGTGATCAAGAGTACAGAAGGGTTTTTTTTTATTGTTTGCTTTAAGATGGAATAGATTCGAGCATGACTATATGTTAGAAGGAAAGCGTCCATAGAGAAAAAATTAAATACATAGGAAAAGTGATCATATAGAGGAAGGCTCCTAAGGAAAAGTAGAGGAGACGAGATCTAATGAACAAGAATAAATTCTTCTGGGGAAAGAGGGTCAGCAACTTTTCCAGGTCAGGGGAGGAGAAGGAAAGGATGGGCCGGGCGCAGTGACTCACGCCTGTAATCCCAGCACTTTGGGAGGCTGAGGCGGGCAGTTCACCTGAGGTCAGGAGTTTGAGACCAGTCTGGCCAACATGGCAAAACCCCATCTATACTAAAAACACAAAAATTAGCTGGGCATGGTAGCACACACCTGTAATCCCAGCTACTGGGGAGGCTGAGACAGGAGAATTGCCTGAACCCAGGGAGTAGAGGTTTCAGTGAGCTGAGACGTACAACTGCACTGCAGCCTGGGTGAAAGAGTGAGACTCCATCTCAAAAAAAAAAAAAAAGAAAAAAATTAAAACAAAAAGACAAAAGGAAGGAAAGGATGGAGAGATGTAAAAAAAACACAAAAAACAAACCTTTGTGGGAAAAGGGTGGGAAATGGAGGAAGTTCCCTCCTAATAGATTGCATCTTCCCTTTTAATTTGGAGGCAGCGTGAAAGCAAGGAGAGTAGGGTAGGGTAAGGAGCTTAATAAGAGAAGGTACAGAAGAGTCATTGTGGGAAGGGATGAGAAATAAAGTTAATTTGGAACAATGACAGAAAAAATATGTGGTGATGCTGAGAGCCCCAGTGAGGTCAAAGACAGCTATGTGTTCTTCAGGAAAGTGCAGGTTCAGAAAAAGGAAGGTTGAGTTGATTCAGGTTCAGAGGAGTGCAAAGTTATCTCAGTCCCTGGTCCTTCAACCAGGGCTGCCTCATCCACCATTCTATAGCTACTATATGAAAACATCCCCAACAGAAAGTAATTGCTCTGAACAATTGCCCCAGTTTTTGCCTGATTAAGCTAACCTACAGCTCTTGCCGCATCCTTGCTAATTCCCCGAACCTGTGAGAACCACTCCAGTATCCAGTCAATACTTGAGAGAGCTGGCAGTACCTGAAGGATGCTCAAAAGGAACTCTAGGATACTCTCTCAAAGCACTGAGGAGCAGTGCTACACTTACAGGGGCAGAAAAGGCATGTTCTGGAATGGCCTGGGGTAGGGAGAGCTGACACTGCCTTCCAGTGTCAGCCCAGCTCCTTGACATAGGTGGGGTGGGAGGGCTGGGGAGGTGTGTTTCAATCAGGATGGGAGGTAGAAGGCACACTCTGTGAAATGCTGAGGATATGTGGGAGTTTTGTACCTAGTAGAAAACGTGGGAAATGGAGAAAGGACCCAAAGGAATGTAGAGGGGCCTGCATTTGGGCACAGGCTGTCCTTCCTCGGTGGAGTCAGTGTTAAACTAGTCTGGGGCTTGGACAGCAGTATACGGGCCGAGGGTAAACTCTTCCTCCCACGTGTTCACTTCTCAGTAACAGGAGTTGGGATGTCAGGAGAGGAGGTGGTTAATTAGGTTCAAAAACCCTTCCTCCTTACTGCAACAGGCAATAGCCTTCGGGGCTTGGAGGAATCCAACCAAACTCATTTTCTATCATTTACTATAGCCAAGGCAGAACTATCGGTGAAATATATATATGTGAAATAGCATGCTACTTATTCCAATCCTGAAAGTGAGAGAGCAAAAGAAAAGAGAGAGAGAGAAAGTGGGAGTTGCCTCTCTAACTTTCTAACTTCTCTTCCTTTTGCTGAGTTAATATCTCCTGCACAGAGACCTTTCAAACACTACCCTTGGGAGAGGCTTGGCTAGAATCAGTGTGTAGCAAACATTTAAAGAACAGGGTGTGCTGTGTATTCAGGCTTTGAGTAGAAAAGAAGGGAGCTCTCAGTCAAATGGAGAAGACAGGCATTGCGCCCTTGGAAAGCATTCCAGTGCCAGAGGTGAGCACGCAGAAGAAACGCCACGGAAAGACGAGGGCAAATGAACGCACTGCAGATGGCTGCATAATCGCTGAGGGGATGAGGAATAGAGTGCTGAAGTAGCTGATCAAAGGAAGCTGATGGAAAGCAAAGGATGTTGAACTCCATTTTGAAGGATGGTGTGCTTAATCTGGGAAGCAGGGGGAAAGCATTCTTCAACAGGCTTCGGTGTACAAGGGAGGAAGGAAAATGTAAAATCCTTCATTCCCGGGCAGGAAGCCCTGAGCAAATGCATCACATCAACCTGTCCCTGGGTTTTTTCTTGCCCATTAATTGGGCCTTTCCTTTTTCCTGAACCATTGCACTGAGAGGCCTCAAACCGAAACTGGAGGCTCTAGGAGGCCTCCCACCTCTGGAAGCATCCAGGCAGGGAGGTAACAAAGGACCAATGTTTAACTCAGGGAACAGAGTCCCTTTGATAGGACCTTGGCCTTGGCACACTCTTCCTCTGTGCAGATAAGCTTGGATTCCATTCAGGGAAAGCAAGAACAGGAAGCAGTAGTTAATAGGGAACCCCTTGTTTTTTCAGATGCCTTACCAAGGTAGAAGGTAGGAGAGAAAATGACACAGATGTTGGGCAGCTCTACAGAAAAATGGTGGCACTGAGTAAGGCGCGCTTGCTTGAGACACGGGCACAATATGCTGAAGATGAAGCCACCTCCGTACGGATGGCTAAAGAGGGCTGGTGAGGGCACAGCGGTGGGAAGCTGCGAGAGGATCCTGGGCAGCTCCTGGATGTGGTACTGCAGGCCCATCTCCCACGATTCTAGAATTGCCCTCCCTGACATCTTTCAGATCCCTCTAAGAGTTCCAGAAGGATCTCCCCTTTCTCTCTCTTCATGTTTTCCACCCACCCTCTCCCCCTGGATATTTTTCTTGGGATAGATAGAACACTGTCTCCAGGATTGGGCCATGTTATCCCAAGGAAGCCAGCAGGGCCAGTCATGGACCCTCACAGCAATGCTGCACCCACCATGTCAGCAGAGTCCGTTGCAGAAGAAAATCTTCCAGAGCACTGTTGGCAGAGCCTTTATTCCCTTCTCACTTGGGGCAGGAGAGAAGAATTTCCTACTAGGCTTTAGCAGGAGAGGGGGTCAGCCAAGTTCAGCTAGTTTCAGGAGTAATTGGTCAAGAATGGCTCTGGGAAGAGGGAGAAACTGTATTGCAGATTATCAGCCATTGTTTGGGCAATTTGGATTTTATTAACGGGGTGCAGAGGAATATTTAGGGGCTAAAGTCAAGTATAGTCAAGGGGAGTTAGGGAAGAACTGCCACCGCAGGGGCCAAGGATATAGGAAGGAGGGCCACAGGGGAAATCTCTCAGTCGTATAGGAACAAATGAATGTGCTCCTTTCCCTGTCCCTTTGGTGTCAGCACCAGCCCCCTTCCTTTGCCTCAGCACTGCCCTGTGCCCAGCTTCCTTCTGGATACAGAGGCATCAGGACTCAGCACATGTACCTGGATTTAGACAAGGTGGCCAATCCCAGATGGGAGATAGGGGAGCCTTGTGTTGCCTGGGAGAGGGATGGTCTCGCTGAAGGCAGAGAGAGTCTGGGGGTCCTTGACGACCACTCAGCATTCTGTTATGTCCAGTTCCAACCCTCTGGGCTGTTGCCAGCCATTGGACAAAGCATCCAGAGGTACAAAGCATGGAGGTATAAACATCCAAAGCATGGAGGTACAAACCCAGGAGGTGTAGCAAAAGACTCCAGGCCAGCCAGGGCTAATGGTCCCAGCTCCTCACCTGACCTCTGTCCTGGTACTCTGGGATGGCTACCATCACTTTCATGCCTGGCCTCTGCCCATTCTGCCCTCTAGGGGCCCCAGACCAAGTGTAGACTATACCTATTTCCTCATTGGTTTAGCTGAGCTAAGGCTAGAATTTCCAGAGAATTATTTCCAGAGAATTATATAGAAAACTATTTAAAAAGGCAAAGCCCCTTGATATGGTTTGACTCCCTGTCCCCACTCAAATCTCATCTTGAATTGTACTCCCATAATTCCCACATGTTGTGGGAGGGACCCAGTGGGAGATAACTGAATCATGGGGGCAGTTTCCCCCATACTGTACTCATGGTAGTAAATAAGTATCATGAGATCTGATGGTTTTTTAAAGGGTTTCTTCTTTCACTTCTTCCTCATTCTCTTCTCTTGTCTGCCACCAAGTGAGACGTGCCTTTCACCTTCCACCATGATTGAGAGACCACCCAAGCCACATGGAACTGTGAGTCCAATAAACCTCTTTCTTTTGAAAATTGCCCAGTCTTGGGTATGTCTTTATCAGCAGCATGAAAACGGACTGATACACCCATAAACAAACAAAACAAATGCAGAATCCATGAAATAGAAGTCTTCCGAGCCCCAATTCATCACTCAAGTCCAGCCCCAGATAGACTTGGCTGGCAGGAGTCCCAGTGATCCCTTCTGTGGCTTCATCACAAATGACTGGGTTCATTGTTCTCTGCTCAGGAATTCAGTAAATTCATGTGGGATTAATCCAAGAGTGAATTCCTAGCATACAAGGGTAAGGAGTGGCTTTACTCATAAGCCACTTGTCCAAATGTCTGGCTGCCCTGGGAGAACTCAGCTTTTCTGTCATCTCCCAGAGTCCCCACCTTCAAGGAGTAGAGAATATCCCAAACAAACTGACAGTACGCAACTCGGCTACAGTAATGGGAGAGTCAAGGGTATTTAGAATGCTCTCCTGGAGTGTGTTTCATTTTCAACGAAGTAAAACCCTCCTCTCTGGGCCCAGGGTAACGTCCCTTTTGATCTTCCCCTGGGGCTGTCTTTCCATGTGGGCTGCTGCTCTCCCACCTCTCTGTCAGCCCTCGGTGTTTCAACCTCTCTGCCTCCCCTCTATCTTCCCCTATATCATGGGCCTAATCTTGTGTCTAGGATCCGCCCCACACTGGCCTCTCTGGCCCTGATCTCCAGAGAAACTCATAGTATTTCCTAAGTGTTCAGAGCTGAACAAGTGTGCACAGGCAACAGACAGTGAGGTGGAAGGTGAACATCCCCAGCTCATCTGTAGGGACACATGTCCCAAAGACACCTGTGAGCACTATTGCCTTAGATGGCATTTATGCCTAGGATGGATTTGGTACATCCAGACACCTTGGGGTCATTGTGTTTTGTAAGAATGGCACATGCACTTGAGCAATACACTGGCTCTTTTATTTTTCTTTAGAGACTTTGGTACAAATAAATGAAAATAGCTATACCCACTAATGCATTTTCTGCAATAAGTAAATTTACGAGCCATTATGTCGGCCAATGCATAGCATGTACTCCCTCCCCCACAACATGTAAAATGCTTCACATTAACTTAACCAGCAGCATAAACATTTTTGTGCCTTTTTCTTCTTTCTACAACTGAATCGGATGAGCTACACCTATAATTGATGACACAAATGTGTCACAGATGATGAATTCGGTGGAGAAGAGAAATAGGCTGGGGGCTGGGGGAAATGTGAAAGAATTTTAATATGTCTTCATATTTGGATATTGGTAACTCACTTTTTGCCAAAGGCACAATGGATTTATCTCACTAGCTCTTTGGATATTCAGTGAAGAGGAAAGGTAAAAGGAAGGGTATTCAGAAGATTGGAATAAGAATTGCTCATCTCAGTGATTTAAGGAGAGTGGGAACTTCGTAGGTGAGCAACGAATTAATTGGAACTGATAAAGTCAGAGGGAGAAATGGCTGATGGCAAACACCCAGCACAGGCAACAGCTCAGGGAGCACATCTGGCCTGTCCTGGGTGGGGAAATGTCTGCCTGTCCTCTGTCCTCCTCCATCCCTGGGTCCACCTGCCCCTCACTGTCACCATCCTGCCACCTGATAGCAATCACCATCTCTTCCACAAGCCCAGAACTCCTGAGTAAAAAAACCACCTCCATAGTCACAATCTCATTTGGGTCTCAAAATGAAAAAGATACGGAAGATTAGATTTTAAATGTTATTTTACAGATGAGGAGACTGAGGTTCCTGGAGGCTAAGTGACTGACCGAAAGTCCCAGAGTGGTACTTCCAGGGCTAAAACCTAGCTGCCCTGACTTCCCGCCCAGGCTGCTTCCCCGGCTCTAACTGCATCTCCTGAGACTCTGCTTTGGATTCTCCTCTCCACGTGACTCCACACTGGACACTTTTCCTAGGATGGACCCTTCACTGCTCCTGACTTCATTGCTGGACTTGTTAGAGCAAAGCCCACCTCAACGTGCCCACCATCAGGCTTTTAGAGCTGGGCCCTGGAGGTGGGCATACTTACTTTAGCTCAGGAAAGTCTCTGTACCCAAATCCACCACCCTATGACTTCCCTGCTGCTGCAGTAACTTCCTAACTAGGATCCCTGCCAGCTGTACCTTGAAATATAGAGGAAAGGTTGCTGGATCTGGAGGCAAAACACTCAAGCATTAGTTCTGGTTTCTATCTAGATAAGTAACCCTGGGTGAGTTAATCAACTCTTTTAACTCCAGCTTCTTTATCGGCAAAACTGGGATAATAATACATACCATGCAGTGTAGTTGAGAAGATTAAACAAGCTGTCTTTTGGAAAGGACCTGCAAGGTGGACAACAAATGCTACTATTCTTTCCCTCCATTCTTCTATTCTTCCTCCCTCTTCGCTTCCCCTGCCTTCCTTTTCTTTCCTCTTTCTTACAGTTTATCCCACACAACACTCGCAGGCTGATCTTCCCTGAACTTTACTCACACCAGACTGCTCCCTTGGTCAGAAATCTGGAATGATTTCCCATTGCCAAGCCCAATGGCATCTCTCTTTTCCATGCAGGTCCTGTGGCTCCTGGCACCACCTCTCCTCCCCAGGCTTCCTCTCCTCCTAACTAGGAACGTGCATCGTCCAGTAGGTGGCGTACCCATACATACTGACTTGCTCCTTTCTGTTCTTGCTTCTGTCATCTCATCCTCCGGGAATGTCCTTTCCCACCTCTCTTTCCCTGGAGGCTTCCCTCACTGCTCCTTGGATCTCTCTCTTCTCTGATTTCCAATTTCACTCACTGTCCATATCAATTTCCTTGGCATGAAATCAGAGGAAACTATGTCTTCAGGTTGTTTCCTATGTGCCTATCTTCTTCAACTGTACGGCCTGTTCCTTGAAAACAAACAAAGGTCTTTTACCTCTTTGAGTTCCCCATCAGGCCAGGAGAGCTCAGTGGTGATGGGATGAGATCTGGACTCACACCTCTAGGCCTGGGTTCAAATCCCAGGTCTAGCGCTTATAACCTATGTGATTTGGGAAATCCTATGTTTTTCAGCTTTAAAAGAAATTATTTAGCCAGGCATGGTGGCTCACATCTGTAATGACAGCACTTTGGGGGGCCGAGGTGGGTGGGTCACTTGAGGCTAGGAATTTGAGACCAGCCTGGCTAACATGGTGAAACCCAGTCTCTACTGAAAATACAAAAATTAGCTGGGCATAGTGGCACACACCTGTAATCCCAGTTACTCGGGAGGCTGAGGCATGAGAATCACTTGAACCCAGGAGGCAGAGGTTACAGTGAGCTGAGATCGCGCCACTGCACTCCAGCCTGGGTGACAGAACAAGACTCTGTCTCAAAAGAAAAAAAAAGAAAGAAAGAAAGAAAAGAAATTATTTAACTTCTTTATCAGAAGTTTGCTTTGTTAACATATTTGTCCATTGAATAAATATTTGTTGATTACCTACTTGTGCCAGGCCTATGCTTTTCAACATATATGAGCTCATCTAATTCTCATAATCTAATGTGATAACTTTAGCCCTGGGACTCCAAACTCTAGCATCAAATTTGTGGAAATTAAATTAATTAAGTGTTCATATGGAAGTGCACCATGCTGGACACATTGTAGGTGCCCAGCAAGTCTTTGCTGAATCTGAGTGTTAGTTATTAAATTGAATCAAATTGACTCACTCATCCACAGTACTGAAGATATTATAGTGAATAAAACTACAAGCTGGGTACAGTGGCTCATGCCTGTAATTCCAGCACTTTGGGAGGCGAAGGTGGGCAGATCACGAGGTCAAGAGATAGAGACCATCCTGGCCAACATGGTGAAACCTCGTCTCTACTAAAAATACAAAAAATTAGCTGGGCGTTTTGGCACACACCTGTAGCCCCAGCTACTTGGGAGGCTGAGGGAGGAGAATCGCTTGAACCCGGGAGGCAGAGGTTGCATGAGCCGAGATCGCACCACTGCACTCCAGCCTGATGACAGAGCGAGACTCTGTCTCAAAAAAAAAAAAAGAACTACAAAATGCTTCTGTCCTCATAGAGCATTCAGTCCAGCAAATGAGACAGACAGTAACAACGGTAATTGTAAATTACACTTGTGATACATGCAATATAGGGAAAGCATGGTGTACTCTGAGAGCCCATGAGGGAACCTAATGCCGGCTACTGTGTCAGAGTAGATTTCTCTGCAGAAGATCCTGAGCTCAGATCTCGGGATCTGAATAACCTAAGTGGGAATAGAGAGGGGAAAGAGCTTAAGGAAGGGGACAATGGGAATGGCAGGCAGTGGAAACAGCAGGGTGCAAAAGTCCTGGGTGAGAGAACAGAGGGCCCTGTTCAGAAACTGGAACTTAACAAGCAGCCAGGAGAGGCGGCAAGGTGGGGCTGAAGGCGGGCTGCTTTAAGCCTTGCTGGCCTTGCTGAGGAATCCAGATTTGATGCACAGTGGGGTGCCGTTAGGGATCTTAGGCCTGGGAGTGACATGATCAGGTCTGTGTTTTTGGAGGCTCACTCTGGCTGCTGTGTGAAGAAAAATGAAAGAGCAAGGGTGATGCAGGAGAACAGAATGGAGTTACAGGAAACTGATGCCTGAAACTCTCCCAATAAAGACTCCAGAGTGTGGGCCTGAAAATGACTTCAGGGGCCTGTGCTCCAAGGGGCAGAAGCAGCCTCCAGTTCTGAGCACCCTCTCTTCCTGACTTCCTGATGCACGCTGGTCCTGACCCACTGCATCCTGTCTTATCCACTCTATGCCTTCTCAATGGGACATTCTGGTTTGGTGTGGGGATAAGGCCAAAACAAATAAACAAACCTTCAACCACCACCCCATTCTGAAGTGCAGGCTAAGCCACAGATTGGTTTGAACCTGTCAGTTCAGAGCTGGCTCCAAGGCCAAGACCCACCTGGCCTGGCTGAGAGTGGCCTCTCCACATTCTTGTCTCACACTCACCCTTTGAAGGGCAGAGGCAGGGCCCTCCTCCACCCCTTCCTGCCCAAAGGGCTGGTGGCAGCCCAGCCTCTGCTTACATAACCTGAGCCCAGGCATTGCTCCATTTGCTTCTTTGGGGCTGGGTGGCTTCTGGGGATGGGATTAATAGGTAGGTTCTGTGTGACAGATGGAGAAACAAGAACCAGTTTCCAGTTCCTCTAGTTCCACCCACTAAGACCCAATGGTCTAAACTTTGGCCATATTCACAGTTCAAACATACTAGGATCAGATGGATTCCCAACACTCACTATTCAACACTCTCCTCTTCTGGTGTGAGAAATTGGAGTTACTCGTTGCTAGGGTCAAGATACTTTGGTTTGGACTTTCACTTTGTCACCAATGTGAGCAAATCCCATAACTTCCCTGGGCTTTGGTTTCCTCGACTATGAGATAGGGAAATTATCACTCCTGTTATGTAGACCTCACAGGAGACAAAGAAAATCAAGATGAAGGTTCTCAGAAAAGCTAAAAACACAATACCAATGTAAAAGAGCATTAATAATAATATCAATAATAATAATAATAAAAATAAACCTTATATCCATAGTGACTCATCTGTGGCCATCAAAGCCCTGAGAACTCTTTAACTAGAAAATAGTGCTCCAACAAGCAAGGCTGAGTTCCCCACCCCCAATTTTCCCTCCTGTCCGCAGCCCCAATGGAGTTGAGGCTGAGGCAGAGGCTCAGCCCCGCTCACAATTCTGCTGCACTAGGTTAACAACACTGAACTCCTCCTAAGGGCTACATAGCTCTCTCTCCCAGGTGAGACACCCGGAAGTTCCATCTGACTAAAGTTGCAGGTGCTTCCTAGGTAAGGGGGTGGAGATTGTTGTTAGCTCAGAAAAGGTGGTTGCAACTGCCTCAGGCAGGATTAAAACCAGTGCCTAAAACTAAGAAGATTCCTAGAAGGATTCAGTGCCCAGAGACCAAGCAAAAAGAGGGCACTAAGGCCAACCAGAGGGTAGAATACAAAGCAGCTACATGTGCCTTCCCAGTCTCAATCTTTCTCCTCCCCAAGAACTGCCTTCTCTCCCAAGGTTCACTGAGGTCTTTTGTGTAAGAAAAGTCGTTAGTGTAAGCCAAAGGAATGAATCTCTAAGAATGCACATACCTACATTAATGCACATACCTATATTGGAAGTGATAAAATCAGAGGGAAAAATGGCTGATGGCAAACACCCAGCACAGGCAACAGTTCAGGGAGCACGTCTGGCCTGTCCTGGGTGAGGAAATGCTCACCTGTCCTCTGTCCTTCTCAAGCCCTGGGTCTGCCTCCCCTCACTGTCACCATCATGCCATCTGATAACAATCACCATCTCTTCCACCAGCCCAGTGCTCCTGAGATAAGACCACCAGGCACACACCTGAAATCCAACAAAATCAGATATATTGCCTCAATGCAGCGAGGGATGGCATTCCAAAGGAACGGTAGAATGATGCTCAGCAGGAGTAAGGCAGGGACACATCTCATGTAAGGTTTGGTGTCCTGCTGTAGGATTTTGAGGTGAGTCTCAGGGCAGTGGGGATCCATTCTGAATTCATTGCCATTTCTGGCACAGGATTAGTATATATGGAAATTACTAGGGATTGGATGCTGTCATGAAGCTAGGGCAGTTTAGCAATTGGATATCCCCAATAATAGGACCCATTTGAGCAAAGTGGGCCTACAAGCGTCATTGCTAAGACAGCAGTAGTCATCACTCAAAAAGGGAGGCTTCATGACATTTTGCAGCTGCTGCGTGACTTTAGGAGAAACAATGTTTTCTGTTAATGTTGCAGCTGGCTTTATCTGTGTCTGTCCTTCCAGCTTGATTAACAGCAGGGCTGCTCTTTATATCTTCATTCTGAGCTGATTTTTCACTCTTCAGCTGGGTACAGGTTTTATGCTCTTTCACCTACCACCATTGCTTGTAGGACCTTTGGGTTGAATGACTCTCTCCACATACATATGTCACCTGATTGTTAAGAGCATATTTCCTAGATTGAGACTGACTGTATTCACACTCCGGTTCCACCACCTGCTTATCTCTGATATCTTGGACAAATTATTTCCATCTCGGTCTCTTAGTTTCCTCATCTGTAAAACAGGAAAAAATAAAAGCTCTTGCCTCACAGGGTTGTTGTGAAGATTAACAGAATAAGACATGCAAAGTTCTTAGAACCGCCCTTAGTTAGTATTCAATAAGCCTTGGTTCTTTTTCTTATTAATTTTATTTGAAAGATAACCTAATTTCTGATTTAAAATGATGGATTTGCTGTACACATTTTCTCCTCTCCCTTCAAAGATTCCCTCCAAATAATAAACAGGATTAAAATATATCAACTCCAAGCAATGAAGAGACCAGTAAAGAGGTTATCAACAGACAGGAGATGTCAACAAATGCTTGAAAGGAATGAAACCAATGCAGGAGTGACAACGGATGAACAGAGAACAGAAACCCAAATGAAGAAGGAGATTTAATTTTTAGAAATTAAGAAATATACACATAAATATATATGTGTATATCCAAATAGATAGATGATAGGCTCACTGTATATATACCTCATATGTGTGTGTGTGTGTGTGTCTGTGTGTGTGTGTGTGTGTGTGTGTAGGGAGAGGGAGAGAGTTTAACCTCACTTTAAAGAATAATATGTACTGTTAGAAAATGCTACGAAAACTGGTTGATCCATCCACCACCAAGCATAAGATAGAATATTAGCAGATCCTGTGCCATCTTTGTGACTCTCCTGTGGCCCTTCCTGACCACATCTCTCCCTCTTCCTAAGGTAACCACTATCCCAAATTTTGTGTTATTTATTCCCTCGATTTTCTTTATACTCATTCACATATGTAGCTAGCCCTGCATTGTTTAGATTTTCTCTATATTTGATCTTTATATAAATGAAACCACGCTTTGTGTATTATTTTGTGTCACGTTTTTTCACTCAACATTGTTTATAAATAACAGTTTTATTAAGATGTAATTTACATAACATCAAATTCACCTTTTTGTTTTTTTGTTTGTTTGTTTTTTGAGGCGGAGTCTTGCTCTGTCACCAGGCTGGAGTGCAGTGGTGCGATATTGGCTCGCTGCAACCTCCACCTCCTGGGTTCAAGTGATTCTCCTGCCTCAGCCTCCTGAATAGCTGGGACTATAGGCACGCGCCACCATACCCAGCTAATTTTTGTATTTTTAGTAGAGACAGGGTTTCACCATGTTGGCCAGGATGGTCTTGATTTCTTGACCTTGTGATCTGCCCACCTCAGCCTCCCAAAGTGCTGGGATTACAGGCGTGAGCCACCACCAGCCCCAAATTCACTGTTTTAAAGCATACAACTCGATGGTTTTTGGTATATTCACAAAATCATGCAACCATCACCACCATTTAATTCCAGAATACTTTCATTACCCCCAAATAGAAACTTATTAACAGTCACTCCCTAACTCCCATTCAGCCTAACTCCTGACAACCACTGATCTACTTTCTGGGTCTATGGACTTGCTTATTCTGGACATTTTGCATGTGGTCATGTGCCCATATAACAACATTTTGGTCAACAATGGACCACATACAAAACATTGGTCCCATAAGATTTTAATACTGTATTTTTACTACACCTTTTCTATGTTTAGATATACAAATATTTACCATTGTGTTACAGTTGCCTACAGTACTCAGTACGGTAACATGCTGTACAGGTTTGTAGCCTCAGAGTAATAGGCTATACCATGCAACCTAGGTATGTAGTAAGCTATACCATTTAGGTTGTGTAAGTGCACTCTATGATGTTCACATAATGATGAAATTGCCTACGAACACAATTCTTAGAACATATACCCATGGTTAAGCAACATATGACTGTAATGGAACCATGCAATGTGTAGCTTCTTGTGTCTGGCTTCTTTCACTTGGCTTGTTTTCAAGGTTCAGTCATACTGAGCATGTATCAGTACTTCATTTTTATAGCCAAATAATACTCCATTATATGGATATACTATATTTTTGTTTATCCATTCTTCAGCTAATGGACAATTGAGTTGTTTTCTCTCTTGAACTATTATGAATAATGCTGCTATGAACATTACAGTCTCTTGCATGAATATATATTTTGATTCTCTTGGAGAATACCTAGAAATAGAATTGCTGGGCCAATTATTAACTCTATGTGTAACTTTTTGAGGACTTGCCAGACTGTTTTCCAAAGTGGCTACACCATTTTACATTCCCACCAGCAACATAAGAGGGTTCAAATGTTGTTTTGAGAGCCACTCATGTGGATGCCTGTGACTATTGTTTACCCATTGAGATCCATTCACGTGGATGCCTGTGACTATTGTTTACCCATTTTATGTATATACCACATTTTAAAAATGCATTCTATGATTGATGGACATCAGTTTATCTCCAGTTTTGGGCTGTTATACACAATGCTTCTGCGAATATTCTTCTACAGGTCATCTGGTATAGAGGATCAAGCACTTCTTTAGGCTGAGCACAGTGGCTCATGCCTGTAATCCCAACACTTTTGGAGATCTAGGCGTGTGGAACGCCTGAGCTCAGGGGTTTGTGACCAGCTCAGGCAACATGTCAAAACCCTGTCTTTACCAAAGTATACAAAAAAAAAAAAAATTAGCCAGGCATGGTGGTATGTTCCTGTAGTCCCAGCTATTCGGAGGGGCTGAGGTGAAGGATTGCTTGAGCCTGGGAATTGAAGGTTGCAGTGAGCCAAGATAGTGCCACTGCACTCCAGCCTGGGTGACAGAGTGAGACCCCATCTCAAAAAAGAAAAAAAAAGAGCTTCTTCAGAGGTGGGATTGCTAGGTCATAAAATAAGCACATTTTAAACTTTCTTAGTGAATACGGAATTGTTTCTCAAAGTCTCATTCTTAGTCACTTCTAACCTTAGTGTTTAAGAGTTTTTGTTTCTCTAAATCTCCAACTGGAGACGTTATCAAATTTCTTAAAATCTTGGCTAATGTAATAGTATGCAATATTCTCTCATTGTGGTATTTGTTTGCTAATTTATTTATTTTTACCTGTATTATCTTACTAGAGCTTCAGAAAGTCTTATGAATTAAATAAGGTAGTTACTTCTTTACAACTTTGCAATTGAGGCACGGAGTGTGGTGTTACTACCAAAGGTTAGACAAACAATATGCAGATCTCAGACCAGAATTTGATTCTTCTGATTTTACTATTGTGGTCCTTTCCTTATATTGCCTATTACCGAAATTACACTCTAATAAGTGGTAAAACCAGAAACATAAGCAAGTCCGTGCAAGGTTTGGATACATTCTTGAATATTTTATACACTTTACTGAAGGAGATAAAGAAATACATTAGCAAGTTTTTAACTTTTATGGCCAACACTCTGTTCTTCCATCTAGTTAGATATAGCCTCAATAGGATCCTTTTCGTGATTTGAATCCCTATACAACAGTAGATTTATACATGATCAATACAGGGTTAAATGGAAATTTGAATATATTATTTTCATTAACCCTTCCAAAATATACACTAAGCTCCGTGTTATCTTCTGCTATATTTTTCTAAACAATTGTTTATTTTAAGGAATTAAGTAGCATTTTAAAGAATTGTTTTCTTGTTTTTTATTTTATTTTATTTTTAAATCTGCTTTTTTTTTTCTTTCCAACTTTTATTTTAGGTTCGGGGGTATACGTGCAAGTTTGTCATGTGAGTAAATTGCGTGTCAAGGGAGTTTGGTATATAGATTATTTCATCACCCAGATAATAAGCATAGCACCTGATAGGTAGTTTTGGATCCTCGCCTCCCTCCCATGCTGCACCCTCAAGCAGACCTGGGTGTCTATTGTTCACTTTTTTGTGTCCACATGTACTCTGTGTTCAGCTCCCATTTGTCAGTGAGAACATACAGTGTTTGGTTTTCTGTTCCTGCATTAATTTCACTGTGGTTTTTAAACTGGTGTTCTCCTGATTATTCTTTTCACTGACCATCTTTTCCTATGATCCTGGGTCATTTAGGTTTCTTCTTCAGTGAAATGTGAGATGTCTTTTACCAATCTTCTTCTTGGTTTATTTTTATTTTTCTTATTGATTTGTGGGTATTTTTCTTATACTCTGGATCTAAATCCTTTGTCAGTTGTATGTGTTACAAACATATTCTCCCAATTTGTGGCTTTTCTTCCCCTTCTCTTCATGGTATACTTTCAGAATCAGTATAAAACTATTCAATGTATTCAAAAATATACAATGTATTAATGTATTAAAATGTATCCAACTTTTCCTTTAGTTTGTGATTTGTGTCTTATCCTTTTAAAGAAACCTTTCTTTGCCTTGAAGCCATAAACTTCTTCCATATTTTCTTCTAAATGTTTAATTTTATTGTCTTTTATATTCGAGTTCTTAATTCATCTGGATTTTTTTTAGCTTATAAACAATAAAATGTACCTCTTACAGCTCTGTGAAGTTCAAGATCAAGATGTCAGCAGATTTAGTGTGGGGTAAGGGCCCATTTTCTTGTTCAGCCCATTTCCTTGTTCATAGATGGTCCCTTCTCACTTTGTCTTCACATGATGGAAGGGGCCTGAATTTTGTGTTTGCATATGGTGTGGATTAGGGACTTAATTTTTTTTTCCTCTGTGGGCAAAAATATCATCAATGTCACCCCTCTCATATACACTTTCCATCCATATGTGGGCTGTTTCTGGGCTCTCTTATCCTTTCTATTGTTCATTTTTCCACCCTCTTCTAATATCGCATTGTCTTAATTATTCTAGTTTTACAATAATCTTTTTTTTTTTTTTTTTTTGAGATGGAGTCTTGCTCTGTCACCCAGGCTGTAGTGCAGTGGCATAATCTCGGCTCACTGCAACTTCTACCTCCCGGATTCAGGTGATTCTCCTTCCTCAGCTTCCTGAGTAGCTTGGACTGCAGGTGCGCACCACCGCGCCTGGCTAAATTTTGCATTTTTAGTAGAGACAGGGTCTCACCATGTTGGCCAGGCTGGTCTCGAACACCTGGCCTCAGGTGATCCACCCGCCTTGGCCTCCCAAAGTGTTGGGATTACAGGCATGAGCCACTGCGCCCGGCCAATTTTACAATAATCTTGATGTCATAGAGAACATGCTGTCCTACAGTCACCACCAATCTTGTTCTTCCTCAGGATGGTTTTGGATACTCTTGGCCCTTTGCTCCTCTAAGCATACTTCACAGTAAGCTTGTCTCATTCCATAGAAAACCATGTTAAGCTTTTGAATGGAATTTCTGTAATGTTATAGAACTAAGACAGAGAAAACATACATATTCACCAAATTGATCTTCCTTTCCCACAAATATATTATGTCTTTCTATTTATTTAGAAAGATTCACTAATAAATTTCCAAAATTTGTATTGTTTTCCATGTGAAAGACCTGCATATCTCTTGGTAGAGTCATTCCTAGATATCATTTTCTTTATAATTAAAAAACTTTAAAATGGTATTTTTCTGCTTATTTTTGGTGTAGAAATGAAATTAACATTTGTATATTGATTTTATATTTGTGGGCTTTGCTAAACTACCTTAACAATTCTAATAATAAATCTGTAGATCATTTGTGGTCTCTTATGTGGGTATTCACATCACTGGCAAATAATGGGAGTTTTATCTTATCCTTTTTAATTCTTATACCGTTTCTCTTATTTTTCTTGCTTTGTTGAGCTGGCTAAAGCCTCCACTGCAATTTTTATTTTGTTCCTGACTTTAATGAGAATACTTTTGATGTTTCATTGTAGATTTTTAAAAGCAGATTTCCTTGCTGAGGTCAAGGAAATTACTTTCTACGTCTAGTTTACTAAGAAGTTGCTTTTTATTAACAATAAATAAATGTTAAATGTCACCTAATGCTTTTTATAAACCTACTGAGATGATTATCTCTTTAAATCTCTTAATGGGATAAATTACACTAATACAGTTTTCAATATAACTTTCAAGAATAGACCTATATATTAATTTTGTTTTGAGACAGGGTCTCGCTTTGTCATGCAGGCTGGAGTGCAGTGGTGCAAATATACCTCACAGCAGCCTCAACCTCCCAGGCTCAAACGATCCTCCCACCTCAGCCTCCTGAGTAGTTGGGACTACGGGTGTGCACCACCACACTCGGCTAATTTTTGTATTTTCTTTAGAGATGGGGTTTCACCATGTTTCCCAGGTTGGTCTTGAACTCCTGAGCTTAGGCAATCCTCCCACCTCAGCCTCCCAAAGTGCTAGGATTACAAGTGTGAGCCACCCTGCCCAGCTCATATATTAATTTTTTAAAACATGGCTGGATTATATCCAGAATGTTTTAGATTCTTTTTTTTTCTTCTATATTCATGAATGTGACTGATCTGTAATTTTTCTTTTTCAGACAGTCTTTGTACAGTTTAGGGATCCATGTTCCATTAGCCTCATAAAATAAATTTGGGAATATTACCCCTCCCACTATCTTCTGTAAGAATTTGAGTAAATCTGGAGTTTCTACCTCTGTCTCTTGAACACCTGGTAGAACTCACTTGTATAATTGCTTGGGCACAGGGTTTTCCTTATGATTCAACGTCTTTAGTAGCTATAAAACCATTCCAGTTTTCTATTTCACATAGAAGCAATTGTTGCCAGGTTTTTTTCCTAGAAGTTTGTCCATTTCACCTAAGAATACAAGTTTACTGGTGTAAAGTTATTTATAACATTCCCCTATTATCTTTTATCTCATTAGTTAGCCCCTTTTTTCATTCCTGACACTTTTTGTGGGTACCTTTGCTTTCCATATTTGAATGATTTTGTCAAAGTTTTATTAATTACTTTGATGTTGTTGGGTCTCTCATTTTACATTTTTTTCTATTCCATAAATGTTGTTCTTGTCTTACATATCTTATCTAAGACATTTTTTATAGCATTGTCGCATATTTTCATTCTTCTCCTTCCCTTGGGTTTCCTCTGTGATTCTTTTTCTAACATCTTTATTTGGATACTTTTTTTTTTTTTTTATGACAGAGTCTAGCTCTGTCGCCCAGGCTGGAGTGCAGTGGCACAATCTCGGCTCACTGCAACCTCTGCCTGCCAAGTTCAAGCGATTCTCCTGCCTCAGCCTCCTGAGCAGCTGGGATTACAGGAGCCCACCACCACGCCCAGCTAATTTTTGTATTTTTAGTAGAGACGGGGTTTCACTGTGTTGCCCAAACTAGTCTCGAACTCCTGACCTCATGATCCGCCCACCTCAGCCTCCCAAAGTGCTGGGATTACAAGCATGAGCCACCATTTATTTGGATACTTAATCCAACTTAATTACTTAATGTTCAGCCTTTCTCCTCTTCTAATACAAGCAATATAAAGTTATAAATTTCCCACAAATTTCTACTTCAGTTTTGAAACAGTATTTTTTTAATTTAAATACTTTTCTAATTTATATTATTATTTATATTTTAATCCTCGATATATCTAGAGGTCTTTTTTAAAACTCCCAAATATGTCACTATTTAAAAATAGGTTTTTGTTATTGAATTTTAACATAATTGTTTTGCAATAGATAATGAGATGTGTTTGATACTGATTCTTCGAAATTTGTTGAAAGTTGATTTATGGCATATGATGGTGGTCAATTCTTGAAAATTTGGAGTTTTTCTTTAAAAGAGTGTGTGGTTTTTTTTTGTTTGTTTGTTTTGTTTTTAGTGAAGTAAAATATTTAATATATGTCCATTAGGTCAACCTTGTTTTAGTCATAAAGATATTTTTAGAAATGCAAAGACTGGAGAAATGTATTTATCAAAACTTCTTTGGTTAGTAAATCATTAACAATGTGCTACAGCAAATATGGGAGAGAGGCAAGGCAAGGAAAACATGGGACCCAGGAAACAGTGGCCCTCACTCAGAAAAACAGTGGTGCCCCAGGTGACAGCTATGCAGCAGGTCTTGTGAGTTAATAATACCTACTGGAGCAAGACATTCCAGGGCTCCAGGAGGAAGGTGTGCAGCAAAAAGCAGGATTCAAGCAGTCTAATATTATCCTTAAGACTTTGGGAAAATGTGACCCAGGACAAAGTCCTACCCACTGTTATGCCAAAGCTACAGTCCGTTAGAGTTGGGGGCTTGAGTTATCCTCAGCAAACTAATGCAGGAACAGAAAACCAAACACTGTATGTTCTCATTTATAAGTGGGAGCTAAATGATGAGAACACCATGGACACATGGAGGGGAACAACACTTACTGGGGCCTGTCGAAGCCTATCAAGAAGAATAGCTAATGGATGCTGGGCTTAATAGCTAGGTGATGGGTTTATCTGTACAGCAAACCACCATGGTACATGTTTACCTACGTAACAAAGCTGTACATCCTGCACACGTACCCCAGAACTTAAAATAAAAGTTGAAGAAAAAAAATAAAATGAAAATGAAAAAGGAGAAGAAAGGCCTGGCGCAGTGGCTCACGCCTGTAATCTCAACACTTTGGGAGGCCAAGGAGGGCGGATCACCTGAGGTCAGCAGTTCAAGACCAGCCTGGCCAACATGGTGAAAGTCCATCTCTACTAAAAATACAAAAAATTAGTTGGGCATGGTGGCACTCACCTGTCAAGTCCCAGCTACTCGGGACGCTGAAGCAGGAGAATCACTTGAACCTGGGAGACAGAGGTTGCAGTGAGCTGAGATGGCGTCACTGCAGAAAAAAAAAAAAAAAATTGGGAGCTTTGAGTTTATCAGGACATCCAGAGATCATGGCCCAGGCTGCTGGGCTTGCCTCTGTAGAGTGAACTGGGTTGAGATTGCATGGACTGTGGGGAAGGTGACCAGTAGTCACTTGGTGTCTAACTAGAGCAGAGATCACACAGATAGGTGCTGGCCTCTCTATCCTTGTCAGGAGTGGTCAACCCACTGGGGTTCACAGAAAGAGCCACTGGAGTGATGGGAGAAAATGTCCAAAATTCCATTTATCTCATTCTTTTTATTTGCTTTGTATGTATATTCTAATGCATATAATACATTAGGAAAGTAGAAAGTGTATATGTATGTATGTGTGTATATCTCTGTGTACATACACAAAGCACATGCATATTCAGAAATTTTTAGGTCATGAGGTGCATAATTATAAATACTTGGAGACCCCTAGTAAACAATAGCTATGTAGGGGAGAAACACTCAGATACTCTTCCAAAGTTAGGTAGAAAAATAATGATAGCAACAATTGCTGCACAGTGATTGTGTGCCAGGTGCTCTGGAGATGCTTTTAATTGATTATTTCAGCTAATCCTCAAAACAACCTTTCAGGAGGAATACCGCTTTTCTTCCTGAATAGATGAGAAAACCAAGGCACAGAGAAGTTAGGCAACTTGCTTAAACACACATAATAAGTGTCATATCCAGAATTCCAATCCAGTTGGTCTCCAGGGTGCATGCTATTTTCTATTAGCCAGATGTTCTTTTTTAAAATTTCAACATTTCTACTTGTTATACATTGAATTGTGCATGCCTGAAATTCATATACTGAAGTCCTAACACCCAGTACCTCAGAATGTGACCTTACTTGGAAATAGGGTAACTGGAGATGTAATTAGTTAAGATGAGATCATATTGGAATAGGCTGGACACCTATCCAATATAACTGATGCTCTTATTAAAAAAAAAAAAAAAGAACACCCATTGAACAGGTAGCTATGCATATCGGGAGAATCTCATGTGAAGGTTGGAGTTAGCTGCCACTAGCCAAGGAACCACCAGAGCTAGGAGAAGGGCCTGGAACAGATCCTTCCCTGACATCTTCGGAAGAAACAGAGCCCTGCCGACAGCTTGATTTTGGATTTCCAGCCTCCAGAACTGTGAGAAAATACATTTCCATTGTTTAAGCTATCCAGTTGGTCGTGCTTTGTTATGGCAACTTAGGCAAACGAATATACCAGTTATTAACTTATTTGTAAATGAGGTTAAACTGAATGTTTGGATTAGGAAATAAAATTTAACCGCTCATCAGTGTGTTTTTGAATGCAAGTGACTTATTGGACAATGATTCCCTAGTCTTCTTTTTAAGTGCCCTAAGTATATTACTAAATCTTCTCAAAGACTCACAAAACAAAGTCTAATCCTGAGATTAAATAAATGACCGGAAGTGAATTATTTTATTTACTAAATTCTAGAACAACCTGCAACTATAAAGTGTGGCAGCTAAGTACCATTTCTGCAGAAGCTGATAACCTGGGACCCTGCCTCCTCTAATGTCTAGGAAAGCACATGCTCTTGGATCCCAGGAGCAAACCCCACAGCTAACAATGATTGCTGGTGCAGGGGTGAAGGGGAATTTCTCCTTTGCCTTCTGAAGGTTCACTGAAAATCAACTGACAAATGGTAGATTAACAGGAGAAAAGGTATACACAACTTTATTTTAAGCTGCATAGCATGGGGGAATGGCAGGAGAATGATTACCCAATAACCCACTGAGGTACAGATGTTTATATAACCTTTCTTCACAGGGGAAGGAGAGATGGAGGAAACGTGGTATTTTGAGAGATAGTAAAAAATGATTTTTAAGGGAAAATGAATGGACTTGAAGAAGATACAGTAGCCCAGGACAAAGTCTTTTGGGCCCTCAAAACAAACAGTTGTTTGCGACAAACATCTATCCAAGTATCAACAGACTTTGGGTTTTTTTCCTACTATATGAGTTAAGTTCATAAAAACTCAGGGAAGGTAGACATGTTCTTTGGCAGGTTTGGCTTTTAGGTAGATAAAGAGACTTCAGAGAACAACTTGATTCTGCGCTTTGGGAGAGACGGAAGATGAGGTGAGGTGGAAGGTCAAAGACACGTTAAGGCTGCCTCTTTAGTCCAGCATGTCAAAGCACCACATTTTGGGGTATTGGCGTATGAGCCCCAACACTGGCCTAGAGAGACAGCAAGAATTCTTCATCACTAGCCATGGCATGGCAAGATAATAATAAAACTGTTCTTATCTAGAAAAATCTCAAGTTCTACTTAAACATGGTGTATTAGATATAATATTTTATCTTTAGTTTGTCCTCAAATCCCATTAAAAAGTCCCAAAATTTTTTATAAAAAAAGGAGAAATTCACAAGGACAGAGGAAACAGAAAAGCGGATGATAGCAGATGAGAGATGGGAAAGGTTCTCACTCACTGCAAAAGGAGAACTGGCAAATACTGGAAAATGAGAAGCAGGTGAAATGAGGGGTAACTGACCAAGCAGGGCGGAGATGTGGAAACCCAGGCCTGCAGGGAGAGGAATTCAGTGAGAAGCAAGCGTTTGAGCTGCTAAAGCCATGGAAGGCTCCGGGATTAGAGGACTATGGTATGCAGAGGTGAGCGTGAGGGACACAGCTTAAAATAAGACCATTGACTACGAGTCTGTGCACTGAGAAGATTACCTCCCTTTCACCTCAGGAGGAAGTCGTTTTCTACCCAAGGGGAATTTACAACAGATAAACTTCAAACTCCAAACTCAGAAATATTGGCCTCAGCTGAGAACTGGAGGATTCGTGGGTAGTCTACACTGAATAGTGAAATCTCCAGCTTCTTTCTCCATTTGGTTTCAAAAATGTTAGCAGAGAGGCTCAGACACCCCCAACGCCCAACCTCTGAAACACCCCCAGGCAGGATATTGGAAGATTTTGGAAGCTTCTCTAGGGAAACCAATTAACCCCAGAGAAAATGACTGCTGGTACTAAATTTGGGGGTTTCCTCTGATGAAATGGCTTGGGTTCTTGCTGAAAAAATGCCAAAGCACCAAAACCAAAAGCCCAACAGTGAAGCCTGCTAATTGACAAGTTCTGCATATATGCACAACCCAAGCAAAATTTAGGTGCCTTGGTCTGAAATACGAACACACATACTGGGAACACTAGACATTCGCAGAAAGCCTCCAAAATGAAAGCCAGAGATCAAAATAAAGAATCCAGAAGAAGGAACTCAGAGAAAATAGAGATGATGAAGGAATTATAAGAAAACTGTATAATTTTTTAAAAATCTATAATTAATATCCTTGGAAACATATGGAGATACTGCAACTATGAATCAAGAATAGAATGTTACATGTTTTTAAAGGGAGATTTAGAAAACAAGACAAAGTTCTTGTAAAATACAATATGATAGCAGAAATTTGTAAGTATATATCATATAATATTTATAAAATAAAGTTATGGGAAAATCTTCTCTGATCCTTCTACCTCCTTCTTCCACATTTAAGGACCTTTGTGAGTACATCAGGACCACCCCAATAATAGGACAATATCCCCACCTCAAGATTCTTAATCACATCTGGGAAGTCTTTTTTGCCAGGTAAGGTGACATATCAACAGGTTCCAGGAATTGGGATGGGAACATCTTTGGGGGCGATTATTCTGCCTACTGCAGAAGTTGTTTGGGGTGGGATTGAAAATGGCTCCAGTGTGTTTCCCCTTCCTGAATCAGTCACCTCCACTTCTGGTCCACAGGAAGCTCACTTTCTCTGCCTGGATAGAATCTGAGATGCAGGCCAATCTCAGGGTAACAGCAACTCTGGTTGGCTCACTCTACTCCCAAAGCAGCTAGGTAACCTGCCTCATCTCCTCCCTAATGACCATAGTGGGGAGTCAGCTATTGTCCTAGCGGCAGGGAACACACACTCTCTAAGCAGTCAACTGAAGCTCATCTCACTAGACTTGAGGCAAGGGGCAAGCACCACCCCTCCTTCAATGGGGTAGGGAGGCCAGTCTCAGCACAGCTCTCTGCAAAGAAATCTGCCTTACCACCTCCCATCTCCACCCACCACCCTCTCTCATCCTCAGTGCAGAGAGTCACCTCACTGGCTCTCTTTGTAGAATTTTCTGCACATCTGCCTCTCATCTCACTCTGGGTCATTTATCTCTTGTGTCTTGGTGATCATATTGAAATATATAACTTAGTCTGCTGTCACAAAAACAAAAAATAGAAAACCAAGCAGATGACTCAAAACAGGCAATTCACAGAGGAAGAAATACAAATGATCAACAGTCATTTGAAATTCATTCCCCAAGTGATGAAATATATTCAGATTAAAAGAAGACACCATCTTCACTGATAAGATTGGCAAGGTCCCACAGTTTGAGAGCACCATGTGAGGGTTTGCAGAGGCCTTTTATATATACCTCTGAGAGCAGTGTAAAGTTTTTGGCTAGCAATTTTTCAATATGCATCAAAGCCATTGAAATGTGATTTTGGGAAAAACACTGGCAGGTATACAAAGAGGAATGAATAAGGATATTCACTGAATCATTATTTATATTAGCAAGTGATTGGTTATTAACCACTAAGGAGTTTGTTAAATAACTTATAGTCTCTGTATATGATGTAATGCTTTGTAACCACTAAAAGTGATATTAAAGAAGGTTAATAACATCAGTAAATAAGCTTTGATATATTGGGAAATGAAAAAACATGGGTTGAAAAACAGTACTTACAGATTGGTCTAATTTAGTGGGAAAATATGTGTGAGACATAAACCTTGAGATATTAAAACTGTGTGTCTTGATGTGGTGGGGTTATGGGTACATTTAAATTTACTTCTTTGGTTTTTGTGTATTTTTGAATATACAACTGTGAAATGATATTATTACTTTTATAATGAAATCCATTTTAAAATGGTAGTTTGCACCTATCTCTGTACAGCTGTCTCTGGGAATTGGTTTGGATATATTGGGAGAGGTACTCACTCACTGCAAAAGGAGAACAGGCAAACTGCCCGACAAGGACAGGGTGAGGGGAAACTCCATAAGACTAGTAAGGGTGGAGCAGAGCAGCTGGATGGGACAGGTTTTGTAGCCAGTGCTCTATTAATAAATGATATGCCTGTCCTTCAGTGAGCCCCATCAGCAAACATTGGTTCTGTGCCTGCTACGGAGGAAAAGAACGATAGCCTGTTTGAGCCTCAAAGGGCTGATTAGGGAGAGAAAAATTGCATGAAATAATTGCAAAGGTATGCATTAATAAATCCAAAATAATACAGCACTGACTGTATTATATATGTAGTAGGGGTGGTGCAGAGTAAATAATCAGAGTTCTGAGACTTTGTTGAGAAAAAGGTAGGATGAAATACGTGAATAAATCGGTTAATACTATCCAAAGCTCCTCAAGGTGTGCTTCAAGCCAGTTATGCATGTTAGGTTATCATGACGTGTTTATAAAAGCAAGGGAGAGAGGAAAGAAGAAGGCAAATAGAAGGAACATTTCAGGTAAAAGGTGTGGCTAAGCCAGTGGTTTGCAAAGTGTGGTCCCTGAACTGGCAACATTGGCATCACCTGGGAACTTGTTAGAAATGCAAATTCTTGGGCTCCATCCCAGACCTACTGAATCAGAAAAACTGGTGGCAGGGCCCAGCCATTTGTATTTCAACAAATGCTCCAGGGGATTCTGATGTAGCTAAAGTTTGAGAACCACTGGGTTAAACAAAGTCTTGGAAGATGGTGTAAGCAGGTTTTGGGTAAGGGAAGTGGCCTTACTAGAAGGAAAAAGCCACATCAGGGATTGATGGGAGATTAGATGGGAAATAAGGGGGCTAAGAAGGCGCTATATTATTGGAGGTAAAATAGATTAAGCTTTTTCACAAACAACATGGCTGGTATTTACACATAACTAATATGAAGGAAATTTGCTAAAGAAAAAAAATCCACGTTCTCTCTTGATTAACACAATTAGCTTAAGATTTTCCCTGTTGCATGTATTTGCCCATACCTATACCTAACGTTCACACAGTTATAACAAAGTTCTGAGGTTCTGTTTATTTTTGCATTTTATAGTAGACTAATATTTTGATACATTAATCTAGGCTTCCATTTTTATTTTGGCTTCTGCTGTTGTGTTTCACATCTTAGCTCTGCCTAGACTGTCTCTGAAGGGTTGTCACAACAGAACCAAATATTAAAGCAATCAAATGTTGGGTTATGAATTTCACAGTTGAGATCCAGGCCAAAGACAAAGGCATCTGGAAGTAAATGAACAGTCAGAGCCAGCTTTCCTCACCCCTAAAGCCTTGATAAAGTTGCCAACTAGGGCAGAGCTGCAGAGAATCAGAAAGAAGAGCAAGAGCATATCCTGGGGTCCATTCCCCACCCGGCCTGCACCCCCGGAACCCCACGGATATGGCCTAAACTCCCACCATGAAAAGAGCCTAGGGAAATGACATGTGTCACAGAGGTCCTTCTACTTAGCACCATATGAGAGCAGCAAAGGCTACAGGTGACCCAGCTAGGACCTGAGGACCCAAGACAACCTCTCAGAACTCCCCGCAGCGCCAGGGTGATGTGATGATGCAGATGGAATGTGGCTAAGTCAGAGGCTGGCCTGAAAAACTTCTGTATTAGGGAACGGAGGACAATCCAGGTCCTGCATGGATCAACGGTCAAAGAGAAAGAAGTCAATAGACATCCCATCCTGGTGGATGCCCATCGGAGCAGGTAATGACAAACTACTAGGTACTACCCCAGGGAAAATGCAAGCAGTTGGGAATAGGGCGTGGCAACAGGACTTTGAATTGCCTGAGATTACCCTGAATCAGCATAACAGGACACACACCGGGGTGGACCACTAGTCAAAACGGGGCTTGAAAAGGAATGTAAATGTTACTATAGAAAATCAAAGAAAGTTACGTTTTTGCTGCAACTGAGTATGTACTCTAAGATTCGTACTTGCTACAATTATATAAAATGTTTTCCATGTCTGAGAACTCATTATTATTTTAGTTGACAATATCTCCATCAAGTGACAACACTGTATTTTATTTAGTCATTCTCCTATTGTTGAAAATTAAGATTGTTTCAATTGTTAAGTATAATATAAATACTACAACAAAATAATTATTCTGCAACATTTATTTGCCACCTACAATTATGCCAGACTCCAGACTAAGCATGCTGATTCAGAGGTGAAAAAAACACAATGTCCCATTGTCTGGTGGGAGAGTCAAATGTGTCTAATGATCATCACAATGTCACATGAATGTGATTATAAAAAGCATAGCTAACTTGTGCCTATTTTAAAATTATTTCCTTAGGATAAATTCCAAATAGTGAGATTCTTGGATTATATTGACAAATTGCTTTCTTTTCTATTGTATTGTATTGTATTGTATTGTATTGTATTGTATTGTATTGTATTGTATTGTATTGTATTGTATTGTGTTGTATTGTATTGTATTTGAGATGGAGTCTCACTCCCTCGCCCAGGCTGGAGTGCAGTGGCGCGATCTCGGCTCACTGCAACCTCCACTTCCAGGGTTCAAGTGATTCTCCTGCCTCAGCCTCCTGAGTAGCTGGGATTACAGGCGTGCGCCACCACGCCCGGCTAATTTTTGTATTTTTAGTAGAGACGGGGTTTCACCATGTTGTTCAGGCTGGTCTCAAACTCCTGACCTCATGATCCACCTGCTTGGGTCTCCCAAAGTGCTGGGATTACAGGCGTGAGCCACCACGCTCAGATGACAAATTGCTTTCTTAAGGCATCAGTTTAATCTGCAATGAATAACAGTTTCTGTTATATAACCATGTAACATTCCTTGACTCATATGTGCTGGAAATATTTTCCAAGTCTTTTGTTTTCCTTTTTATATATTGTTGAGGGGCAAATTTTTAAAAAGTATTTTAATTTCTCTTTTCCTATGTTCTTTCTTATATGATTTTAAAACTTAGAAAATTACTCCTTTAGAGATAGGATACATATTTACTTCCATTTTCTGCTAGTTTTTAAAAATAATTTGGTTTTTCTTCAATTGTTTAATCCATCTGGAATTTTTTTAGCAACTAATCAGAGCAATTTATTTTCTAAATTGCTAGCTAAGACTATTTTTCCTTTAATACTATCTGATGACATTTATCAAATACGCAATTCTCACTGTAAAATAATAATATGTTTTCAGATATTAACCTGGTAAATCCTAGGCTCTGATTAACCTGTGACCCCCAAATGTTGAACTGATGGCATCCAGAGCTTCATGGGGAGGGGAGAACCATCAAATATAGGGGAGCTCCTATTTCATTTTCTAGGCTATCTTGAGAATGTTGAAAAAAAAAGTGAGAGGATTTTCAGCTAGCTAGAGAACTAATCATAGAACAGATTATTGACCATTGATCAGAGAAGAACATGAAATATGATGTTAGTGAAGCCCTCACCATTGAGGAAGGAAGAAGTTCCTTCTAATGCTGGGATTAGGATCTGGGTGGGTGAGGGGGAAAAAAGGGGCAAAGGGTGACCTGAAATGTTCTGGCTCCCTTTCTCACCCCAGGATGGAACATTAACAAGAGGTGTTATAGGGCAGGAGGGTGCATCTTGGATAAAACCACCCCCAAGATAAATTTGGGACAGTCTAAGAACTTCAGGAGCTGCTGTCCTTCACAGACTGGGCAGAGCTTGGGGAAACCATAGACTTTGTGGAGAAACCCTCCACTGCAGGGGATGCTGCATCCAACATGATCCAAGAAAGGGGAACTAGCAATTACAGGCACATGCTGAGGGCAGACTTCAAGGGTCCACACACAACAGCATATTGGAGAGAAAGCAATCTAGAGTTTTCCGGCACCCCACTGAGATGCATGACAGCTGAGAGAGCAGAAAAGACCCAAGTTCCTAAGGAAGCTCAGAGTATGGAGCTCTTGTCACCAGAGGCAATGGCAAGGACCCGCGTGTATGCATAGTGGGGGGCAGATGCCACTATGATGCCCATGGACCAGATCAAACCAGTGGCATCTTCATCACCAAGAAGAATGAGGGGCATTTCAGAATGAGGGTAGGGAGAATCAAGGACATCTGAGCAATACCACTGCACCCAGACACCATCTTGAGAAGGGGTAGGAGAGATCCCTTCAAGCTGTCTAGAGTCTGAGCTTTGAATTAGCTGCTTTACCTAAAACAGATCTGAGCAATGGAGATTAACTTTCTATTAATTGGTACATTTAAAATATCTTGGCAATATCACCTCATCCCTGCTACCAACAGAAATTAGCACCCACACTAAACAATTATAAGACAAAAATTTTACTTTTATTTTTCCATATCTGAGTAATATGTCAATTTTGAAAGCACCAAACACACACACACACACAAAGAGAGAGAGAGAGTTAGGCCTTTTCTGGGCTTTTTGTTCCTTTATTGATTTAAAATGCATCCTTAAAGTCAGAACAAAGCTTTACATGTGTTTGGGGTACGTTGTGTTCAAAAGCAATGTAGAAAAAGACTTTTTTCTCTTAGTAGGCATAGTTGGAAATTCATTCTTCTTTGTGCCAGAGGAATTCAGAACTCTTTCACGTATTGTTAACCTCGCATGAGGTGTGATGGCCACCATAGGTGACACAGGAAGCTTCATGCTGAGAGTAAATGTAGAAAAGTAGAACATTTTGGAAAACTCAAATTTATTCTTGGGAAAATCCTTGCAAATCCTGTTGTTCCCTTGCATTCCCCAGGGGTGACCATATGTTTCCCTGGGACAATCCCGATTTACACCTGCTGCCCCAGAACAATTATTAGAAGTGCCCCTTCATAGTGTCCTGATCTGAGGTCCCTGGTCACTCTAGCCATGGAGTCTTTCTGGCACAAGGTGGCAGCAGCTGCCCATAGTTGAAAACGTATTGTAGCTTTTGGGCCCTTCCAGTATCTGAGACAGAGAAAAGGGTCCATTCATTAACCCAGGACAGGCTTCCAAATACAGCACCAAACTATGGAATGAGAGTACCTTAGAATGCAAGGACTTAGAATACAGGATCATCTGGCCACCCCCTGCCATGAGGCAGGCCACGCAACCCTTTTGGCAGCTGTGGGGAAAGCCATTCTCTGGATGGGTATTCTCTCAGCTGGTGAAGTTAGGCTTTTGTTCACAAATTTCAAGCAGCTCCTGGAGAGAAGGGAAGGGTCCGCTCCCTGCAGTTTCTGAGATCCTCACCTGCAAAGACCCTCATCCTTGCGCTGAATGTGCAGGCTGCATGGATATGTTCACCTGGCCCATCAAGAAGGTGCTTGTTTTCCGAAAGATTCTTCAATTGTCAGCTCTTCTCTCTATTTTTTTTTTCTTGTTATGGGTTGAAATGTGCCAAAAAAGATATGATGAAGTCCTAACCCCTAGTCCCTCAGAATGACCTTATTTGGAAATAGGATCATTGAAGATGTAATTAAGATAAGGTGACATGGAGTACGGCAGGCCCTTAATCCCATATGATATCCTTATAAGAAAAGGAGAAGACAGAGACACACGGGGAAGATGGCCATGTGAAGCCAGAGGCAGAGACTGGAGTGATGTTGCCATAAGCCAAGGAATGCCTGGAGATACCAGATGGTGGAAGAGGCAAGGATGGATCCTCCCCTAGATGCTTCAGAGGAACCATGGCCTTGCCAGTACCTTGATTTCAGACTTCTAGCTCCAGAGCTGTGAGAATAGATTTCTGCTGTTTTAAGCCACCCAGTTTATAGTGCTTAGTTATGACAGCCCTAGGAAACCAATGTGCTTCCCTCTCACACTTTCCGAACCCCATGCATTACTTATCTATTGCTGCACACCAAGATTACCATAGAGTCAGCAGCCTAGGACAACACACATTTCTCTCCTGCTTTCTTTTGGTCAACAGTCCTGGCACAGCTTTGGGTCCTCTGCAAGCCTTCAGTCAAGTTGTCAGCCAGGTCTGGGTTTGCATCTGAGAGCTCAACTGGGGAAAAATCCACTTCCAAGTTCACGTGATGATTGGTAGGATTCAGGTCCTAGTGGGTGACCAGACTGAAAGCCTCAGTTTCTTGCTGCCTGTGGGCCAAAGGCTGCCCTCCATTCCTTGCCACATGACTCTCTCCACTGAGCAGCTCACAACATGACAGCCAGCTTCAACGAAGCCAGCAAGGGACAGAATCTCCTTGCAAGAGATGGGCGTTACAATCTTCTTATTCTGTATTTAACCACAGAAGTGACTTCTCATCACCTTTGCTGTATTCTACTGGTTAAATGTAAGTCACAGGTCTCACCAACACCCAAGAAAGGGAATACACAGGGGCATAAACACCAGGAGGTGGGGACCACAGGAGCCACACCCCACAAGGAGGAAGGACAGCAAATTCCTCAGGGATTAGATTTTCAGACTGAACTTCCAGGGGCTCAAGTGTCTCTGCTCTCTCCCCAGTCACTGTCTCCCCACACATCCAAGAGATGAAAGATTATTTTTTCTTCCCCTTTCAGAAACTAAGTGCAACTTCTCATTGCTCTGTGGAGTGACCCTTTTCCCAACTTTCCTCCTTTTTCCCTGGGACAGGGGCGGAGTGGAAAAGCTAAAACAGGCTGACCCAAGGCAAGGACAGGCTGTGTTCTCCCACAGTCCGACGAGTGTTTTCTCGCTTTCCAGGGTAGGGGAGGGAATGAACCACTGCTTATGCTCATCCACTTTTTCCTTGCCTCTGCTGGTCTGCTGCTGGGCTCTGGAGTCAGCTCCATTTTAGGGAACCCTTAGTGTTCTCCTAATAATCCATGTCTCTCCATTTCCTCACCATCCTTTGCAGTTAAGTTGGGTCCATGTGACTAATTCAGGCTAATTAACAGTGGAAGTTTGGTGTGACAATTCTGGGATGAAGCCAGTGTACCTCCTCCCTCCCTTCCTTCCCTGACTCAGTAAATTTAGAGGCCAAGTGTTGAGAGGGCAGTGCCACAAGACAGAGGAAGCTTGGTCCCTGAGAGGTGGTTTGGAGAGCCCTTGCCACCCCCCATGGGACTTCATTTGAGTGAGAAATAAAGTCTGCGGTGCTAAGCCATTGAGACATTAGGATTTGTCTACAGCATCAGCCCAGCAACAGGTAGCACAGCTTATCACATCTGTTTGAATTTCTTTATCAGCCCCCAGGCAAGCTGTTGCAAAGAAAAGCTCAGCTAAGCACATCTAAATCATCTCAAACCTGCACTGGGATAGAGAGATCTGCCAGGGCCATTTTTCATAGTGACACTGGTTCTTGGCTCTGTTCTTTACCCCCTTACATGCTATGTGACCTTAGAGAAATTATTTAGCCTCTGTGTCACAGTTTCCAGACCTGTAGTATAGGGTTCTACTAGTAATTTCTCATAAGAGTAAATGAGTAAAACCACGTAGATCAGTGGAATTGTTCCTGGCTCATCATTGCTTTCTCAGCTGGGGTGCAGGGACACACTCTGTAAAGCCCAACTCCAACACTGTTAACACAGGCCTCTGGGGCTTCTCCTCAGCCCACCTGTTCCCAAAACAAGTCTCAATTTCATTTCTTTTGTCTTTCCCCAATTCCCTCTCTTTCAGGCTGTTACCTTCCTTTCCTTAACACTAGAGGGTGCTTCAAGTCAGGCGCCATCTAAAACCAGATTCTCACTCTGAGTCCAGTCAGAAGCTGGTGAGTGCTGGACAGTTGGCCAAACTTGGAGCGTATCACTTAGAACTGGGAGATGGGTTTCTCACCACCAGAATGGCCAACTAATCTTAAGGTCACATAGCACATTCTCTTATTCCAGAATGATCCCAGATTGCTTCCTTAGAGCCCTATTCTTTCCCTTCCTAATACCTACCAATACTTCTAAATCACTTATATTGTATATAGTTCTTGCTATGCTAATTGGCTTAATGTTCCTCTCCCCCAGCAGACTATCAATCAAGGGATGTGTCTGTTTTGTTCACTATCCCTTTCCAGCACCCAGCAAAGTGCCTGGTGCATAGTACCTTCTTGATAAATACTTGAAGACTCATTAAATTAATCCCCATATCTTTTCTCATTCTCTACCCCACCATCTGCTTGCTCCCTAACACTAGAGTAATCAACCTGACCTTGTGCTACTTATCACTGCCATCCCAACCTTATCACCTTTGGTTATTTTCACTGTTTCTTAAAAGGTTTTCATTTTTCCAAATGTTTTCCTTCCAGTACATTTTGTCTACCGCCACCATCCTGCTCAAAAAACCATTACCTACAGGCTCAGTTCCCAGATGCTTTCAAGACACATTGACAAATTCATCTAGAAGGAACAACTCAGATGGTGAGAGGAGGCTGAACTTCCCTGAGGCTCCAGAATTCTTATCCATATGATAGGGATAGTAATACCATCTGACTTATGGGGTCATTGCAATGCCTAAATGAGATCATGGCAGGCATGGGCATTGGCAGAAAATAGAAAATGTAACAAAAGATGGCTATTTGCATCAATAATATTCTATGATTTTAGTTCAAAGGTATGAGAAATGTTTAGGTTGATAAAATAAAAACTTTAGCTGAATTAAATTTGAAGGAGTTTCATTGAGCAATGAACGATTTGTGAATCGAGCAACCTCCTGAGCCAGAATAGGCTCAGAGATTCCAGCACAGCCACATGGTGGAAGGTTTATGGACAGAAAAGGAAAGTGACATACAAGGAAACGGAAGTGAGTTACAGAAACAACTGGATAGGTTACAGCTCAGCGTTTGCCTTATTTGAACGCGGTTCAAACAGTTGGCTACATTTAATTGGCCAAAAGTCGGTAATTAGCACAAGTGTAGGCTACTGTCTGTTTACACTTCCACTTGTTAGAGTTCACAATGTACAGAGAAACCCTTAGGCCAAACTTAAAATATGTAAGGAGGCAGCTTTAGGCTAAACCTGATTTAACAAGGTGAACAAACAGAAGACTCTGGAGAACTATTTCAAAGGCTACTGAGAGAAGCAGGAGTAGATTTAATCCTGTATTTCTCCTTTCAGAAGATGTAAGTAGTGCCAATAGGCAGGAATTAAAAGAAATTAGATTTTTCTCAATTAGAATTTCCTAAAAATTAGAACTATTTGAAAATGAAATTAACTTGAGTGAGTTCCCTGTCCCTGGAGATAACCAAACTAAGACTGAATGCCTACTTTTAAAAGAAGTCTCTGAAGATACTGTGTATTCAGTAGAGACTTGAATTAGGTCACTTCTAAGGTCTCCTACTTTGTGATTCTATGAGAATTTACGATTCCGTGAGAACCCTTTCCTAACGTCTTTGGGCCATTAATTTCTCTCACTCTTTGGAGATTTTATTTTTTTGAATATGTGAGACCTGCTTTGATATTTGAGTTTTCCTATTCCTTCCCAATTAGGTACTAAATTTTTTGAGGACAGTAACCGTGTATATATGTCTTACTACACTCCCTAACATTCCTAGCATTGTAGTCTGTGGGTGCCTGATAAAGATTTGTTAAAGAGAAAGGAAGGTCTTCCTTTTAGAGAGGAAAACTCCCATGCCAAAGTAGGTGGAACTGCAAGATCCCTTTCTCTTCTCTCTTTCAATATGAAGCTCAGCTCCATGAATTGAACAGTTAGGAAGGAGATGACCCCAGGAACACTGGGGATCCTATGTGTCAGCTTTTGAAATATAGAGTGGAACTTCACCATTTCCTAGGGCATTCTTGTGTAGGATCCATTTTAAAAAGTGAGTGAAAGATTAAGCGTAATGATCTCTGAAGATAGTAAGATATTTTGCCTTCTTAAATTAAGCAATTTTGTCAATGTAGTGCTTAAACGCACTTATTTATAACTTAAACTTAAATCAAGATGAAATTCTTCATCATTATGGAGCCTGTCCCATTGCAGCAAATCTGGAGATTTGCTTCTTTCAGTATTTGGTAGGAAAATGGTCCTTGAGTACCCCCTTGTTACTGGCTTCTGTATGATTTCAGGCAAGTTGGGCAAGGCACACAACAATCTCTCTATAAAGAAAGGTTGGCTCTGCCCTTTCTATTTCATGGACACTTACAGGCTTAAGTCTAAAGATAATGGAGACATTTGGAGGGCACTCGGACTCTGGAACTTGGGTGGGAACATCTGAGCAGACGAACCCCAAATGTTGTACTCCCAGATTCTTTTAAATCTTCTGATCCTGCAGGATTTGCCCAACTGTTCCTATTAAGAGCTAACTACTCTCTCCCTTCCCAACTCTCCCTCCCCCACCTTACTTGAAGACAATACACAGGCCTCTCTCCACCATCTCTGCTCCTTGTAACTAGGTTTATAACTAGGGGTATGTCATAGCATAACCCAATTGAGTATGTGCTGGGTCTGATAATGGAAGAAAAGACCTCAAATGAGCTGCTAGTCCTAGCCAGACTACACCAGCAAAAGTCAGAGGAGTTCAAGCAGGACTGGATCCTGAAGATGCTGGATCAAGGAGCTGGGAGCATCAGGTAGGACAGGGAAGAGTTTACTGATTTGGGATCACTCTCCAGAGATACAGGATTTGACACCCTAGCAAGGACCCCAGTAGGTGATGTGGCCTTCCTGCTCAAATGGCTCCTGAAAGCAGGGAGAAAGTGATGGCCCAAGCTCGATGTGATTGAAATGCCAGCACTACCCCAGCAGAGAGTAGACGTAGAAATAAAAAAGCTCAGGGAAGTCAGCATGCTAGAGTGGACACACCATGAGGCTGGAAGGCCTACCAGATGATTCCATTCTATGAGAAAGGCCAGAGACTATACCATTTACAAAACCCAAAAGGAATGATCTAGTGAGAAGGACAATAGCATGACTGAAAAGATCAGTTGGGAATCTCCTTGGTAAGCCAGGATTGATGATTAGAAAGGTAGGTAGAGAATTTTTTTTTTTTTTTTTTTGAGACAGAGTCTTGCTCTGTCGCCCAGGCTGGAGTGCAGTGGTGCAATCTCAGCTCACTGCAACCTCCACCTCTCTGGTTCAAGCGATTCCCCTGCCTCAGCCTCCTAAGTAGCTGGGATTATAGGTGCACGCCACCATGCCTGGCTAATTTTTTTTTGTATTTTTAGTAGAGATGGGGTTTTACCACGTTGGCCAGACCGGTCTCGAACTCCTAACCTCAGGCAATCCGCCCCTCTCGGCCTACCAAAGTGCTGGGATTACAGGCGCGAGCCACTGCACCCAACCAGGTAGAGAATTTGACTCAATGACACCAATGGTGATGATAGGCCCAGAGCTAAAGAAGCCAGGTGGTGGCACTTAACTGCAGAAGCCAGGTGGATGAAGTTATTACAATGAGCAATGGGGTTGGATTGGCAGCCAAGAAGGCCTGACCCACAGAGTTACGGAGATGATTAAAGGAACACTGTTCCCCTAGAGGCAAAATAGATACTCAACCAACAAGAGTGTTTCTTAGTTTAGACCACTAGAAGAAGTCAAGGATGGATAACAAGGAGTCTGAAAGCAGTAGCCCCAATACAATGTCATGATCCTTTGGCATTTTCTGGATCTGAACCAGTTTTCAGACTTTAACTCAGTCAGGTCTCTGGGAGAAAGAACCCTGCAACACCCCAGCAAACATACAAAGTAAAGATTCCATAAGCCCTTCCCAAAGGGACCCAGGATCATTTACCCAGATAACTGTACCAAGCTGGCATGTTGCCCAGAGAATCAAAGCATCCTCATGGCTACTGTTCTAACTAGTGGGGCATGTGGGAGCGAGGTAATAAGTAAAGTCCTGGCCAAGGTCCAGCTTACACCCAGTGGTAATTTCTCCAGTCTCTGAATGTGTAATTGGGATTCATATACTTGCTACTTGGATCATTGGATCTTAGGCCTGTGGGCTCAGAACTATCACTGTAGGACCAAGTGAAGCATCTGAAACTGCCCCATCCCCAGCCAAGATAGTGAATATAAAACAATATCGTGTGTTGGGGGTAATTCTGGATATTAGTATCACCCATAAGAATCGAAAGGATACAAGAATGGCAGTTCCCATGATATCTCAATTTAATTCAATAGTTGTTCCCTGCAGAAACCAAGTGGACCCTGCAGGATGACAGTAAAGAACCACACACTCAACCAAAGAGTAACCCCATTTTCAGCCACTGTGTCTGTCTACCTGCTACAAGCAGATTGGCAAAGCCTCAGGTACATGGCATGCAGCCTTGATTTGGTGAATGCATTCCTTGCTATTCCCTTCAGAGAAGAGAGTTAGAAACCATCCGCATCTATACAGGCAAATAACAATACATATTTATAGTTTCGCCCCAGGGCTATGTTAACTTCCCTGTCCTCTGTCATAATATAGTCCAAAGGAATCAACATCATCTAGATATCCTAAAAAATGTCACATTGACCCCTTATTTGATGCTTTCATGCTAGTCAGGCTACATGAACAAGAAGTGGCTATATTTTGGAGGCCTTTGTAAGACATGTGGATCAGAGGATGGAGGCAAACCTGTGAAGATTCAGGGACCTGTCACATGGTAATATTTTTAGGAGTCCAGTGATAAAGAGCCTGCCAAGAAATCCCACCCAAAGTAAAAGACAAGGCATTACACCTTGCACCTCCTACCACAGTGAAGGAAGCAACACATCTGATAGACCTCTTTGGTTCTGGAGGCAGCATATTCCACAGCTGGAAATACTGCTCTGGCCCATACACCTAGCGGCATGAAAGGCTTCTACCTTTGAGTGGGGCCCAGAGCAGGAAAAGCCTCTGCAGCAGGTCCAGGCTTAGCTGTAAGCAGCCCTGCACTCACTAGTGTTAGAGGCCTAGGTGGTGGGAAAAGATGCTGTGCAGAGCTTATGGCAAGCCCTAGTGGAAGAATCACTACCTAGTCACGTGGTCCCCTAAGACTCTTTTGCAAGGCCATGGCATCTGCAGGGGAGCATCACGTGCCTTTTGAAAAATAACTCCTGGTGTGATACTGAGTCCTAGTTGAGACACAGTACCTGAACACAGGATACCAAATGAGTATGCATCTGGAACTACCCATCATGAGCTAAGAGTTATTACACCCACCAAGTCATAAGGTCAGGCAATTCATCATGACTTATAAGTGCTTTAGCTGGGATCAAGCACAAGAAACTGAGAGTACAGCAAGCTGCATAAGCAGGCAGCCTGGACCCTCATAA
The DNA here is from genome assembly GCF_000001405.40 of Homo sapiens. Taxonomy (NCBI): domain Eukaryota; kingdom Metazoa; phylum Chordata; class Mammalia; order Primates; family Hominidae; genus Homo; species Homo sapiens. The sequence goes on along the minus strand of NC_000001.11, from coordinate 206,974,067 downwards.
TAACTACCACTGTTGCACAAGTGCCCCTCCCCAGGCTCATAAGGGCCACAGAAGAGCATACTTGATAGCTAATGGCAGACAGGTGAAAAACCCAAGCTTGGTTTATAGATGAGTTGGTTTGGTTCAACTCGAAAGTGGATAGCAGGTGTACTACAAGGAATGATCTTAAAAGACAGAGTCAGGAGAAAGTCCATCCAAGGGACAGAGCTTGGACAGTGCACCTGGTCATCTATTTTGTGTGAAAGGAAAACTGGCCTGATGTTAGAATACATACAGAGTGAAAGGTGGGGGTAGTGGAACATGGAGGGACAAGGGAGCGGGCAGGAAGTGTGAAGATCTTTGTAACCTGTGCTAAAGCTCAGCAGAGAGAATCCACCATGGAAGAACCACTAACTGCCAAGTTGACAGAATGGATTGGCTTTCTGACATCAGCCAGCTTCAGCCATCGGCCACCCTGGTACTAATGCAGTGGACACATTAAGGAAGGTGCATTGTCAGAAGGATAGAGGCTATGCATGGGCCCAGCAAGCAGTATAGGCTCCCACTAATCAACACTGAGTTAGTTACTGTTGCTATCAAACATTCAACCTACCAGCAACAGAGATGAACACTGAGCCCCCGCAAATAGCACCATTCTTTGAGGAGACAGAGACCAATAGCCTCCTTAGTGGCAAGTTAACTTTTTTGGGGCCCCTCCATCCTGCAAGGACCAGAGATTCATTATCACAGGAGAATGTGTATTCAAAATAGCATCCTAACCAAATAATCTTAACCAGTAAGAAACATATTCATTTCCATTTCCAGACTCAAGTCACTCCAGAAAGATTATGCTAAGAGGTGCTGATCATGTTTTCCAACAGCAATTCATACCAACATTCTAGAATGAGCTACAGCTAAAGTCTTAGGCTAATATGCTCCCATCTATGAAATAATCTCCTGGGATTCTTTACTCTGTGCTTTTGCCAATAGTCTGTACATGAACTTAAACTGTCTCAGCACTCAACTAACTGCCTTTGGAATGCCTCCTGTGTTTAGGGGTTGAATATTTTGAACTGCAAGCTTTGCTATCAGGTAAATGGTGGTTGAGGTTATAAAAGCTTGCTAAATGCCATTATAAAATGATTATTTGTGCTATACAAATACTTTCTTCCGTTGTCATTTGGAGGACTGACAAGTCTAAAGTTCACCTTCCTTTGTGAGCTTCTAAGTAAGTAACCGAGGACTTGTACAAAGGCAGATGTTTTTAAATAATGTTTTCTTCAATACTTGGTATTCTACCTGAGCTAGGAGGGAAAATGTGCCTTTCCAGCAGCCAAGAAGGGTAGAAAAAGCTTACAAAGTGGGTACAGCGAGCAGAAAGCTACCACAACATATAAGGAGGATAAGTCTTGACTACCAAGGAAAGGGACAGGATTGGGTGAGCCACGTGGGAACCTAAAGCACCTCTGTCCACTGCTCTTCATTACACATTAGAAAGCACATTTTGGAGAAGAAAGAGATCCATATGGACTGTTTTACAGCACAAGTAGCTTTTCTTTCTTGGGTTAGCTTTCTGTTTACTGGTTTTTACTCTCATGTGTGTATGTTTAACAAACAAAGTCA